>NC_000002.12:17661270-17812785 GCF_000001405.40 Homo sapiens
CACACGGTTGGAAATCACATCAAGAAGTAAAGCACAGGCTTAAAAAGACATCTTCAGAGAGCCTCACGGCAAAGGATGTACAGGGGTCTAGCAAGAAATGGTCAATCAGAGCTTCTAAGTAAAATGAGAAACTGTTTCCTGAGCTTCTTTTTCGAAAACAATTAAGTTTCCCACATAGTTTGGGCATGCAATTTGAATTTTTTCCCAGCATTTTGCAGGTCTTCAGTATCCTAAGTTATATTATTATTTTCCAAGTTCTTACATTTACCAATGTAAAGTTACCCATCAAGTAGGTGATTAACTAGCTGGTTAGTATTCACACAGTTACCTCAAGGTTGCATACTCAGCCCAGAGCTTTCATCTCTCCACAGGGCAGTCTGTTACTCCCTCCACTTCTGCATTGTTCCTGCCTCTGTGAATGAATCATTATTCATCCAGCTATTTAGGCCTCAGGCCCCAAGAAAATTATCCTTGATTCCTCTCTCACAACTCCAGTATTCTCATCGGGAAGTCTTGCTGCCTCTCTATTTCAAATCTGAATGTTTCTGTCTCCACCACCTTAGTCCAAGTCACCATGACCCCTTACCTGGACCACTGCAAGTCTCCAAATTGCTCATACTCTTTCCATGTTTGCTCCACTTTAATCTATTCACACAGCAGCCAAAGGATTCTTTTAAAATGCATACACCAGGTCTGTTACTTACCATAATTTTAGGGCCTCCAATGATCTCGGTCTGCCTACCTCTGAAGTTCACCCCCTACCAATCCTCCTTCCTCACTAAGCTCTATCAACACTGGCCTTACAATTCCTAGACATGAAGTTCATTCTTATCTCAAGCCCCACGCACTCATTTCTTCTGCCTGGAAGCTTTGCCTTGCACATTTTCCTCCTCATGGCTTGTTCTATCACTTGTTTCAGGCCTCTGCTCAAATATTGCCTTCTGTAGCCTTGACACTCCATTCAAAATACTGGCCGGGTGCGGTGGTTCATGCCTGTAATCCCAGCACTTTGGGAGGCCAGGGCAAGCAGATCACCTGAGGTCAGGAGTTTGAGACCAGCCTGGCCAACATGGTGAAACCCTGTATCTACTAAAAATACAAAAATTAGCTGGGTGTGGTGGCGTGCGCCTGTAATCCCAGCTGCTCAGGAGGCTGAGGCAGGAGAATCACTGGAACCTGGGAGGCAGAGGCTGCAGTGAGCCAAGATCGTACCACTGCACTCCAGCCTGGGCGACAAAGCAAGACTCTGTCTCAAAAACAAACAAACAAACAAACAAACAAACAAAACTCAGTCCTCTCTGCCCTTTCAAATCCTTACACTGCTTTATTATTATTCATAAGAATTACCAGTCACTGAGATTATGTACGGTATTGCTTGTCTAACTAGATTTCAAACTCCATGAGGACAGATTTAGTATTTTTAAATATGTGTGTAGCATTTTAAGTACTACAGTCTTCCCAGTAATTAAAAAAGTCCCTAGCTCATGGCAGGAACTTAATCATTTTTTAATGAATTAATCTCTACATTTTCAAACTGGAGAAAAATTAGGCAGAAAAAGCCCTGTTAAGCTTGCTATAATTAGTGAGTACACTCAGGCCACTCCTGTTTGCATGGATTCTATCCAGACGCCAATGCCAAAATTAGCATGCTAACTATCAATATTATATATGCTTTAGAAAACTTTATTTGCTGACTCAAAGAAACAGCTTATTTATATCCACATTATTACTTTGCCAACCCTTAAGTAACAAAACCTGTTCCTATAAATATTTTGATATATCTTCAAGTCCATGGGCATTCAGTTCAAGCCATGAAACACTGGTAACTACACTTTTAGGACTGCAAATTTCAAACCAAGTTCTCCTGAAAATCTGAACTGGTCAAAGTAGAAGGCATACATGTAGATGCATAGCTAAGTCATAAATGTAACCAAAAAAGTATTGCCCCAGCACAAAGTTTATAAACATTTTCTCCCCCACACCCTGCATCTAGTTTGCACTCAGGAGAACTTTTAATCAGATATTCTAGACCACTTGGTTTTCATCAGAGTCGGCAACATTTCTAATCCAATTCATGACTACCAGCCAACAGCTTTCTACACAGAATTTAAACATTTTGGTCTCATAAACAGCCCAGACATGAGGAAGACATGCCCCCCTGCCCCCGCAAAACAAAAAAGCACTAGGAAATGGAAGAAATGAGACACGAAAACTTGGAAAATATTTAAGAAGGCAATTACTGAATCTTTAGTGTTGATCACTAATTTGAATAACTATATTATTTACACTTTGGTTTATGAAAACTCATCACATTTGTCACTTTAAGAATGATTTTAATCATTTCTACTCCCAAAGATTTCAGAAGGTTAAGATTTAAGATCCAAGTAAGCCTTTATTATTTTCTGGAACTTCATTCAGTGATAGCTGCATTGATGACAAACTAGGGGTTGAAGAGTCACCTGTGTGATGTATTTAGGTCACGATTCATGGAGGATCAATTTAGTCAATTACTTTCCCCAATTCACAAAAGCATGACCTTAATACATATAAATTTTAAGTTTTATTTTTAGAAGTTACACATATTTTAAAAGAACAATTTCTTTTTATTCTTTCATTCTAGTAATATTATCACTACTTAGAACATTAAAGGAAGATATTTTCACTTATGATAGTTGAAATCAAAACTTTGTGAGGCCAAAGCAATGAATAATCTTCAATTCAACAAGAGATGCTGGGATACCTGAGGATTATGTTTCCCATTCTGTATGAAAGAGCACAACATTCAAAACTACAACAAAATTCAGACATGAGTTCCTTAGCTAATGAAAGTTTATGCATTTGGTATACTCTACTTCATTTTTAATTTGGAAAAGCACATGTTAAAAATAATTTTAATACAAAGGCATTATAAGTGTAAATTTAAAAATCAGACTTTGTATGATCAGTGGGAAATGTTTAAAATATTCAGCACACACTTTCCTCCTCCTGGAAATTCTGATTAGAAAGCCCAAGTTTTTGAACTTCTCATTTGGCAAACCTCAATTTAAGACTAAAGTATCTTAAACTTCTTCCTCCACCAAAAACACAAACAAAGTCCAGTTTTCCTCAATAACTAGAGAACAGTCCCTGCTCTTAATATACTGCCCTTTTTCTGAAAATAGTTCAATTTCATATTTATTCTAATATTTATTGCTACTAATGTAAGGAATGCTTCTTGATATCCAATACATTCTTAAAAAGTTTAGCATGAATCCTAGTATCAAACAAATAATACAGGGAGCAATAAAATTCATGTTTTCTAAAATAAAAAGTTCATAAATATCATTTTTTACAATAACTATATTTGGTCATTCTAAGCAGCACACTTTTTAACACCCCTCAATTAGGATGAGTCTTAGAATTGATGTCAGCTCACCATCAACTGCATGGCCTCAGGCTCCTGGAGCCATGAGCTACTCTCCTGCTCCATGAGGATCCACCCTCCACTCCCAGTTTTCCCAGCCCTTCTCCCAGCCTGGTTCTGCACAGTCCCTCTAGCCTGTGTCCTCTCAGCTGAGGACAAGCCTGAACAGTCCCTGGACTGCAAACTGAGGGCTTTTAAATCAGGCAAGCATGATGGAGGTCAGAGTGAAAAACTGCGTCATTATCCAGTTCTGATACTGGTTATAAGCTCTTGGTAGGGTGGACAGTTAAAGGACTGCAAAAAAGGCATGTGTAGAAGTTGGCAAAGCTTCAGTGTTCCGTACAAGTGTCTTATTCCCTTGCACCCCACCCTCTGCAATGAGAAATCCCTCCCTTCAACCATTTTTGGTAACTATAGAATGTAATATCTGGAAAAGCAAAACTAAATATAATCAGGTGCTCAAACTTTTATTTTCTTACAAAATGTTATAGAAATGAACCCAAACTAAACAGATATGTACATGTATATATGTACAAAATTTTACTTCTGAAAAAGAACCTATAAAAATAGATCGTATTAAAAAAACTTAAAAAGATTTAAAACCAATACTATGAAATTGATTTTCTTAAAGTAATAGTAATCTTAAATTGCAGGTTGTAGTTGGTTTTCCAGGCTTATTTATATGTTTGATTGTGGTTGGATATATAAAGGAGTTTCTTTCATTTCAGAATGCCTCCAGTCTCATTTTATTATATCAAAGAGTCCAGAATTTTTTTTCCCTTCACAAATCCTTCAACATCAGGACAAGGCATGTTAAGTTACAAATCACCTTTGGTCATCATCTTCTTCTTGAGTCACAGGTCTGAAAGGCAATGTAGTTTGTCCTCTTTCAGGATCAGACATTCGGAGAATTCTTATCAGTTTACTGGATGGAAGTGAACTAGAAGAAGCAAAATCAATTACTCAAATTTCCAAGAAACCTTTTACCAATTAAAAAAAATTCTAATATTACCTCATGAAAATATAAAGCTAAATATTTGGCTTTTATCTGGGATATATCTAATATCTAGAGTTCTAGGAGAAACATCATTTGCAATAAGGAAATAATTTGTTTTCCATTTTAAAAATTAATTCCTGCTAGATCCCATGGGTTTTCAGTTTGGAGGAAAAGAAAATGAAAGAGATTTATATATCAACTATTTTAAATTTCTGTTATTGTCTAGCAAGGAAGGAGTTACCTGGATATTCCCAATCACAAATTTAGATCCCCATATAATCACATGGCCACTTTAGAGACAGAATATTAACTCTAAGTGACATAGTGCTTGACAATTGTAGGCACCCAATAAATACTGACTGACAGCAGAGTAGAGCTCTTTGTTTAGAAAGATTGACATTTGTAAGTCACCAAGAGAAAAGAGGCAAGATTAGGGAAATCATAAATCATTTTAGTCCAAACAGAATTACTAAAATTATATTACTTTAGTTTGTCATGATAACTACAAAGAAGCAGACTCAAAACAGAATAGTAACAACTTGCTTCAGTTATGAAAGGGAAGTAATACAAGTAAAATTTTAAATATCTCAAAAAGAGAAAAACATCCCAAATCTCCTGAACCAGTAGGGGAGCTAATTTTTATTTTCATTGGTCTTGTATGTATTTGTATTTTAAAAATTAAAATTGTAAAAGATTTCTTTCCCCCTTTTATATACTTGATATGTATCTAGAAAGTTTTAAAAAGTTACCTCATGCTTTGAGGTGTGAGCAAGATAAACTGTCTAAAACGCTGGGAATCTGCCATCTTCAGTATCAAGTCCATGGCAATTCTCCTATTAACCATATCCTGAAAAACAAAGGCAAAAGTTAGGATTGCTATTGTGTAAGTCACATTTCTGTAAAAGCAGCATTCTGTGGGCTGATACAAGCTCCTGGATTTTCATCCAGGGATCAGTCATTACATTATCTATGATGTCCAAGAAATCTATTATACTGGAAAAGAAATACCAGAAACTATTAGGAGAAAATTGGCTGGGTGCAGTGGCTCATGTTTGTAATCCCAATGCTTTGAGAGGTGGAGGTCACAGGATCAATTGAGGTCAGGAGTTCGAGACCAGCCTGTGTATAATAGCGAGACCCTGTCTCTACCAAAAAAAAAAAAAAAGTTGGGCATGGTGGTGCATGCCTGTCATCCTAGCTACTCGGGAGGCCGAGGCAGGAGGATCACTTGAGCCCAGGAACTCAAGGGTATAGTAAGCTATGATCGCACCATTGTACTCTAGCCTGAATGACAGAGTGAAAGCCCATCTCTAAGGGAAAAAAGAGAAACTCTTCGGGGACAATAACTGAATAAATATGTCTTTCAGGTAATTTCTATAGTCAAAATATTTGTATACACAGCCCCCTCCCTCAAATACGTGTAGCAATTGAAATAATCAGAAAATATTCTCCTGACACAACTAAATGTTAGAGAATAAATCTAATTTGTACAGTAATGGTTAATGAGTCAGGGTAATGGTAACAAAAGTGGCTAGTCTCAAATTCATTAAGTCTCTCAAATTTTCCCTCAATGATAAAGGTTAAGTTTTAAAAAGTCTGCCTCTCCCCATTACCTCTACCATTTGTACAATATAAACCAATTTGAACTTACAGACCAATTTCTCAATTATATCTTTAAATAAGTTAAATAGCACATCAGGGTATAGACAAAGAATAATGCTTCGTTATAATAGGTTTTGGGATTAAATGGTCTAGACCTGTGGCTACATTTTCTGAGTTAAGTAACAGTAAAAGAAAATCAAAGTGTTCCTCAATTCCCTTGAAAATTCCTAAAAGTTGAAATCATTGACATATGAACATGTATATTTTAAAGGTCTTAATTTAATACTATATGTGGTGCCGGGCGCAGCAGCTCATGCCTTTAATCCCAGCACTTTGGGAGATTGAGGCAGGTGGATCACTTGAGGCCAGGAGCTCGAGATCAGCCTGGCCAATATGGCAAAACCCAGTCTCTACAAAAAATACAAAAATTAGCCGGGCATGGTGGTGCACACCTGTAATCCCAGCTACTCAGGTGGCTGAGTCACAAGGATCAATTGAATCCAGGAGGCGGAGGTCGCAGTGAGCTGAAATCACGCCACTGCACTCCAGCCTGGGTAACAGAACGAGACTGTGTCCTGAAAAAAATAAGTAAATAAATAAAAAATAAAACTGTATGTGGCAATACAGCATGGTGATTTAGAACAAGGGCTGTGGAGTCAAAATGGGATACACATCCTGGCTATATTGCTCAATGGCTCTGATTATAACAATTCCATCAGGCATATCTGCTGTGAGAGGCCTATTATTTTATAACAAAACTGCCAAAGTACCAAAAAAAAATTTGTTTTCCTTGGATTAGCTCACAGAACTTGGATACATTCTTCTGAATAATTTCATTGGGGCAAAGTGCCACTCTGATTAAGAAGCTCTAAGTTTCTGAAAGAGAAAGGAGCTGCTTAGAATTAAATCTGACATACAAGATGAGTGATAAGACTGCACAGCACCATTCTGGACAAAAACACTGCATGGAAAGAATAATCATCTTCTATGACTCGTGATTAGCTCTGAAGACAATTCTTGGAGGAATATCTAACCCATTTTCAGCAATAGTATCATAGAAAAAAATTGACACTGAACTATTATACAGCACTCACAGGTATAAATTCTGATTCACGAATACACACTTACTAAACGGTCATTATAGACTAGGCATTAGGAGACATAAACATCTCAGACATAGCTGATAACCTCAAAATGGTTACAATCTGGTAGGGGATTCAGATATAAAAATGGGCAACTGCAACAGAATAAAAAACAGTATAAAATATTATATAATAATATAAAGCATTTTTATATTTTTATCTTAAATAAAAGTATAAAAGTAATATATATTATGAGTTGATGTAAGGTGGTGCAAAGGAAGTTCTGAGAAGTTCCTCATCCTGCCTGATAGGGTATGGTGGTCACAGAAGTCTCATAAAAGTGGCATTTGAACAATGTCCTGAAAGATGAGTAGAGTGACATGTGATTAAGGAGGGCATACCAGGCAGAGGCACCATGTTTGGAGAATTACAAATAGCTTAGAACAGCTGAAAAAAGCAGGCAGGTACGATATCATGAAGGGTCTCAAAGCTACCCTACAGAATTAAACATTTATTCCATATATAATAACCTCCAAAGGGTTTTACATAGGTGAATGACCACCATCAGATCAACTGTAGAAATGTAAACCTGCCAAAATGGTGGAGGACGGACCGAAGAAGGAGCCACATGCAAGCCTGGGAGTCCGGAGAAGAGGCTATCACCACAGGTATGAGGCGAAGATAAGGGGATGAGAGGAAGAATATCAGTGAGAAAGGAGAAGAGGGCAGAGACCAAAGAGCGGTCTTAAAGGAGAAGCGGACAGAGGTCAGACTTGAACAAGGAAGAATCAAAGGTAAATCACAGATGTCAAAGGTAGGTGACTGCGCTGGAAATGACAGTTTGCATTAATCAAGGTAGGGAATTCAGGAAAAGAAAGAGGCTTTGAGATGAAGGCACTTTCAACCTCGGGGCTGCTGAATTTCAGATATTGGTGGTTTACCAGGTGATGTCTAATAGGTAGTAGGGCATCTGGGTCTAGAGTACAGGAGAGATGTCAGGATGTGGTGCTATGAGTTGATAGGTATCTGTCCATACGCAGGTAGTAGTTTTGGGGACTGTGATATGTGTATATTTGTAGGGGGAAGTAGGATATGGAATTCAGGAAAATCAACAACACTATAACAAGCAAACAAAGATCTCAAACGTTTAAGGGCAACAGAATTAGGGGAGGCAGCTTGGCAGATTAAGAACAAATAATAGAAAAACAGGAAAACCAGGAAAGAGAGGGTGGCAGCTGGTAAGAAGACATTTTAAGGGATGGAGGATAGGTCTGTGGTGTCAAATACTTCAAAAAATAAGGTAAGATTAAAGCTCATTTATAACCTTTGCTAAACAAGTTTTGCTAGAGTAGTGTCATCTACATCCAGATTACAGTAGATTGAGCAAACAATGAGATATGAAGAAGAAAATAATTGCTAATTTATGAGAACTTACTATATGCCTGAACCACAGTAAGTATAATGTATGAAAGACACCATTTGAGCCTCACTCTAACCATGAGAGGTAGGAATTGGTAATAATATTGTTTTGTAGATGAAGAAATTGAGACCCAATAAGTAGAGATATTTTGCCTGTCAGAGGTAGGTCTCAAATCCTATGCTTTTTAACTGGAAATTCAAAAGTTCTTGCTCGCTTATGTTCTGTACATTGTTCTGAAATGTGTGGGTATGAAGGAACAGTAAACAGTGGCTAGGGTGAGTCAAAGCCAGGGTGGTGAACAGGTTATAATTTTGTATTAAAACAAAAAGTCTGAACATATTTATGGGTTGATGAAAATAAGCTGGGAGAGAGGGTGAGGGAGAAAACGCAGATATGATGGAAGGCACGGATATCCATGCTGGGCGAGAAGAGGAGGACCCCTCCAGGGTCTCTAGGGTTACTGTGTGCCTAGAAGCAAGGGAGAGAACTCTAGTTCTTTAGTTCTTCCCCACTACTGGTCACAGACTAAAGAGTCAGGGCAGGATCTTTCCTGTTAGGGGTAAAACTAAAGAAAGATTTCCTTCCTTTAGAAATACATGTTTCAAACAAACAAAAAAATGAAAAAGAGAATTTAAAATTTAACAATACCATGTAGACATCAAATTCATCCAGGCATCTGAAAGGAGATTCTGCGATGGACCACAGGGAAAGAATAAAACACACTGTGGAGAAAGAACGTTCACCTCCAGACAAGGCTCTCATGTCATTGAAAGCAGCTTTATTTCCTTCTCCAGGCTGAACCTTGAAGAGAATGAGTTGACAAGGAACAAAAAACTAAGTAAATGAAAGGCCAGATTAAATTCTTTACAAGACAGATAAATAATAGATTTACAGTAAAAAGGAGATGGGAATAAAATGACTTAGTGATTTGGAAATACCCATTCCTTTCAAAAAATTTTACAGTAAAACAGTTATACGTATAATGGTACTTCTTGCTCTACTGCAAGAGAATAAAACTGAAAACCTTTTTCACCATAACTGAATCTAACAGACCAAAATTCCAAAGGCTAATTTAAAAAATGTTAATAAAACAATTTTTTTTCTGAAACAGGGTCTCGCTCTGTTGAACCAGGCTGGAGTGCAATGGTGTGATCTTGGCTCACTGCAACCTCTGTCTCCCAGGCTCAAGCAATCCTCCCACCTCAGCCTCCCAAGTAGTTGGGACCACAGGAGTATGCCACCACGGCCAGCTAATTTTTGTGTTTTTTTTTTTTTTCTGGGTGGAGTTGAGGTTTCTCCATGTTGCCCAGGCTGGTCTTGAACTCCTCGGTTCAAGCAATCCTCCCATCTCAGCTTCCCAAAGTGCTGGGATTACAGGTGTAAGCCACCACACCTAACCCTGAAACTTAAGCTTCAAACATTTAAAAGTGCTGAGATTTTTTGTTACTTGAATTATAGTGACACCTAGTGGTTAAGCTGCATTAAAAGTGATTACTGAACGTCAAAAGGACAGAAATCAACTTTAAAAAGCTTACACTGGCCAAAGAAATGCATTGAAATATATCTTTTAAAAGATTTAAAGGATTGCTTTAGGAATCCTTTAAAGGAACCCTAGAAGTTCGAGACCAGCCTGGGCAACATGGGGAAACCTCATCTCCACACACACACACACAAAAATACAAAAACTAGCTGGCCATGGTGGCATACTCCTGTGGTCCCAACTACTTGGGAGGCTGAGGTGGGAGGATTGCTTGAGCCTGGGAGACAGAGGTTGCAGTGAGCCAAGATCATGCCATTGCACTCCAGCCTGGTCGACAGAGCGAGACCCCGTCTCAAAAAAAAAAAAAAAAAAAAAAAAATTTCTTTTGTATTGTATTTATTTTGAATTCTAAATAAAATCTTTTAAAATTTAAATAATTTTAAATTTCTTTTAAAAGCTAAATAAAATCTTTAAAAAATTATTTACTAAATAAAGGTCCATGGAAACAATAAGAAAGCAACTAATAAAATTAACAGCAAATCATTCACACAATTTCCTGAGAATATACAATAACATTAGGAAGGGTTCTATTTTTTTGACAAAATTCCAGATATACATATATGCATACAAGGTGAAAAAAGAGCAACAACTAGTTTCATATCAATAGCAGACATATAGCTTCCAATACTTTTCAATTCACTGTTTGAAAAGTGATACTGCTCTCAAGTGAGCATTCATTTATTTTTTAATATTAACATTATTAATATTCTAAGGTAAATATTCCAATTCTAAACATACTCTAAAATTTTACACCTATCATAAGTCTAAACAAACCAAACCAACAATCAAGCAAATAAAAATTCCCATATAAAAAAGCAAGAACTAAATACCAAGATGCAATCTTGCCCCCACACTGTATTTTGCACCAATTTAATAAATGAAGCCCCAAGTAAATCTGGGGGATCTAGCTTTTACCCTCTCATCTATTACTAACATATCATGGAACTTCAGTGTCACTTTCCTTATTAGTAAAATGAAGGCCACATAAATTAAAGATTCTTCTGGTATTCTTTTGAAAAACAGAGATGACAACATCAGAAAGTCTAGCTTGAGTTGTTTTGTATAGTTAGCTGTGGAGATAAATTATTCAAGCACTTCTAATACTTTTTTTTCTCCATTTTTTTATTACAGTAATAGTTTTTATAAAGAACACAAAAGTGTACAACTCAATTTTTACATGAATACATACACACACCTGGGTAACCACTACTGAGATCAAGACACAAGAATATCCCCAGCATCTAAGCAAACTATTTGTATATTACCATCCCTGAAAAGGTAACTATTATTCTGATTTTAATCACCCAAAATCACTCTTAACAGTTTCTGAACTTCATATGTAGAGGTTACACATACTCTTTTGTACATATACTTCAGATTTATATACACTATGTACATCCTTGTAACTGGCTTCTCTCACTCGCCATTGTCAGATCATCTATGTTGTGTGCAACAGCAGTTTGTTATTTTCATTACGGAACAGTATGTCGCTGTTTGAATATACCCGAATTTATCCATTTGACTCTAGGTAGACACTGGGTTTCTCAGTTTTGGGCTATGATAAATAAAACTTCTTTGAACATTTTCAAATATATCTGTTTGAGAAAATAAGCACTAATTTTTTCTTGGGTTTATGCCCAAGAATGGAGCTGCTTTAACAGACATCGACAGAGAGGTTTCCAAATTAGTTTGACCAAGTTACACTCCCACAAGCAATATATGAGAGTTGCAATTCCACATCCTCACCAGCACAAAATATTGCCAGTCTTGTTCATTTTCATCATCATCATAACGGTGTGACAGTAACTTACTGTGGTATAAATAATATTTCTCTGATGACTAACAGCGCTTTTTCATGTGTTTACTCACCATTTAGATACTTTAAAGTGGTTTCTATTTAAGCCTTTTGACTATTTTAAATGTGATGTCAGTCTCTTTCTTACTATTTTTTAATTCTAGGTAAGTCTTTTGTTGCATGTATGCATCACAAATATCTTTTCCTAGTCTGTAGCTTCTTTTATCACTTAATGTTACTTTTTGATGAAGTTCTTAATTTTAATAAAGTCCAAATTATCAATCTTTTCTTTTGAGTAGGTTGCTTTTTGTGTCCCATTCAAAAAAACATGAAGACATTCTCTTCCTCTAGAAGCTTGTTTTAAATTTAGGTCTATGATCAACTTCTAAATTACTTTTTGTATATAAAGTTAGGGGGTCAAACTTTGCTTACTGTTTATTATTTAAAAAAAAATTTTTTTTTTTAAATTTTTTTTTTGAGACAGAGTTTCGCTCTTATTGCCCAGGCTGGAGTGTAATGGTGTGATCTCGGTTCGCTGCAACCTCCGCCTCCCGGGTTTAAGCGATTCTCCTGCCTCAGCCTCCCGAGTAGCTGGGATTACAGGCATGTGCCACCATGCCCAGCTAATTTTGTATTTTTAGTAGAGATGGGGTTTCTCCATGTTGGTCAGGCTAGTCTCAAACTCCCCACCTCAGATGATCCACCCACCTCAGCCTCCCAAAGTGCCGGGATTATAGGCATGAGCCACCACGCCCGGCCGCTTACTGTTTATTTTACCAAAAGGATATCCAACAATTTGAACCTAACACCATTCATGAGAAGACCACCCTCTTCCACAGGCTTGCAGTGGAGTCCTGTCATTACATATATGTATGATTTATGCACACAGGTAAGGTCCTCCTCAGGTGTCTATTGTTTCATTGCTATTGTACATTTGCTTTCTACTCTCCAATTTCTGCTCTTATATCACTGTATCCTTCTCTCTACTTGAATTTATAATAGGCTTTTTTCCTTTTAGCATCCTGAGATAGAACTTAGATCATTAATGTTCAGCCCTCCATTTTTACTAATGTATATATTTAGAGCTATAAATTCCCTTCTGAGAAATCCTATGGCTGTATCATACAAGTTTTGATGTTTTCTTTTTATTGTTGTTTGATTCAAAATTATCTTCTAATTTCTATTTGATTTCTTTTTTGACCTACAGATTACATAGAAATGTGCTGCCTAATTTTCTAACATTCATTAAGTTTTAAGGTTATCTGTTATTTCTAATTTAATTCCACTTTACAATATATTCTGTATGACATCAATCCTTTGAAATTTGTTGACATTTGCATTATAGCCAGGAAATGGTCTATTTTGGTAAATGTTCCACATGTACTTCAAAACAATATACACTCTGTGGTAGTTTGGCACAATGTTCTATAGTTCTGCCAATTAATTTGGTTGTGTAATTTAAATCTTATATTGCCTTACTGACTTTTAATCTGATTGTTCTATCCATTATTGAGAAAAGTTTATTAAAATTTCCAACTGTAATTGTCAATTCTTTTACTTTGCCTTTTAGTTCTCCCAATTTTTATGTATTTTGAAGCTATGTTATTAGGTATATACAAATTAAAAATTTTTTAAAATAACTTTTATAACCATGAAATGGCCCTTTTGGCCTCTAGTAATATTTCTTGCATAAAGTCTATTTTGTTATTATTACAGCTTAACCAGCTTCCCTTTGGCTAATGTTTTCATGGTGTATCTTTTACCATATTTTACTTAGGATCTTCTCTGTCCTTATGTTAATATTTAAGGTGTATTTTGATAAACAGCATACAGTTAGTTTTTGTATTTTTCTTTTCAGCCTGTTTTTAATTTAATAATTTAGTGCACTTACACTTAATGTAATTGCTGATATATCTAGATCTGAGCCATGCATCTCCTTTCAATTTGTTCCATATGTTCTTTATTTCTCTTCCCTTTTTGCCTTCATATAATTGAGTATTTTTGTTTTCCATTCCTTTTATTTGGTCTCTGTTAGCTTTAAAATTATACATCCTTTTAAAATTCAGTGGTTACTCTAGAGATTGCAATATGTATTGCTGATGTATTAGTTTATCTTAAATTAGTATTGGTATTACTTCCTGAAAAGTATAAGAACCTTACAACAGTTTAGAACTCCATGTACTTCTATTCCCTTTTTGTGCTATTGTCATATATTTGACTTTTACAGCTTCTAAGCCCCTCAAGACTTGGGTGTCTATTCAGCAATATTATTATTGTTGATTTAGACGGCTGAAACTGTTTTGTATTTACCCATAGATTTACCTTTTGCATTCCTCTCTGTTCCTTCTGCATTTCCATGTTTCCATCTGTGACCATTTTTCTTTCATCTGAAGATGTTCTTTAGTATTTCTTGTAGGCCAAGCATACTGAAGAATAATTATTTCAGCTTTTGTTTGTCTGAAAACTAAGATGTTTCATCCTCATTTTTGAAAGGTAGTTTTGCTAGTTATTGAATTCTAGATATCAGTTTTTAAAACCAATTCTGCTAGCACTTTAAAGTCTGTCAGGTAACATTTACCTTCACAATTTCTGTTAAAAACTCTGCCTTTGGTTTTATTGTTGCTCTTTCGAAACTAATGCATATTTTTTCTCTTGCTACTTACAAAAAGGTAAGGTTACCTCTTTGTTTTTGGTTTTCAGCTATTTGACTATCATATAAATTTCAGGTATGGTTTTCTTTATATTTACCTCACTTGTAGGTTGCTGAGGTTTCTGAATCTAGATTGATGTATTTCAGTTTTGAAAATTCTCAAACATTCTCTCTTCAAATATTCTTTCTGCTCATTCTTTGTTCTATCCTATCGGGACTCCAATTATGTTAAACTTGCTGGTTGTGCTCCTCATATCTCAAACTCTGTTCAGTGTTTTCTGTTTTTATGCTGTTCAATTTAGATATTTCCTTTCGACCTGCCTTGATTTGTTAATTGTGTCTTCTGTTGTGTCCAGTTGGCTGTTAAATCCATCCAATGAGTTCTTAATTTCAGATGCTGCACTTTTCAGTTTTAGAATATTCTTGTAGCTTCCAATTCTGTATTGAAATTGTGGATTCCAATTCTATGTTGAAACTCTGGATCTGTTTTGTCCATTTTGTTTATGATTAACTCTATGTTCTTTAACAAATTAATCATGGTTAAAAATACTAGTCTGCTTTCTCTTGTAATTATCATCTGGTAGTCTGGTTCTATTTCCTACTTTAAAAAAAATTATCAATCACCTTTCCATGCTTCTTCATATATGTGGCAATTTTTACAGCTTTAAATATAAATGAAATATAATAAGCTGCATATATTTAAAGTGTACAATTTGATAAGTCTTCCAATTTTATTCTTCATTTTCAAAGTTGTTTTGGCTATTTTAGGCCCTTTGCATTTCTATATGAATTTTAGGATCAGCTTGTCAATTTCTACAAAAACGTCTGCTGGCATTTTAATGAAAATTGAGTTGAGGCAGTCTGTATATCAATTTGGGAAGAACTTACTTCTTAATAATACTGAGTCTTCTGATCTAACAACACCCTATATCTCTCCACTTATTTAGGTCTTCTTTAGCTTCTCAGCATCTATTTTAGTAGTTTTCAGTGTACAGGTCTTAAATATCTCTGGCAGATTTTTCCCTAGGTAGTTTATATTTTTGATGCTAATATAAATAGTATTTTTTAAAATTTCAATTTCTAATCATTTGGTGCAAGTACATAGAAATGTAATTAATTTTTGCATACTGATTGTGTCTGCAACCTTGCTAGTTATGACTTCAACTAGTTCTAGTAGCTCTTTTTGTAGATTCCATCAGATTTTCTGCAGAGATAACCATATTATTTGTGGATCAGAAGAATTTTACTTCTTCTGTTCCAATATACATGCCTTTAGTTCTTTTTCTGGGCTAACTGCACTGGCTAGAACCTTTAGTTCTACTTCTGAATATAAATGGTGAGCGTGGACAGAACTGCTTTCTTCCTGATCTTAGGGGTAAGCACGCAGTCTTTATTACCTTATGCTTGATATTTTGTGTAAAAGAACAATGGCGTCTCCAAACGTACAATATTTCACTAAAGAGGGGCCCCCTTTCCTTATATTAGGCTTGAGGTATGATAGGGCTCACAGTCAATAAGGGAGAAAGCTGGGTTGGGCTTAAATTGCAACTTTCCTAAGACTTAGTCCATTTATCATTCATAACTGTTCCTTGGGCCAACTGTGCACAACATCAGAACTCAGGAATTGACTAACTGAAATATTAGTTAGGTGCCTAGCAGTTCCCTTCCCAAGTTTCTACTCTGTCTTGTCAGCCCTCCTACTACTACTAGACTACTCAAAGTCCAGAATCAGCAAACACTCCCAGGAAAGAAAACGTCCAGCAATTGTCAGCTTACCTTGGACAGGCTCCCCTATCCCTTGGAATTCCAATTTGTCTACTCATTATTGCTTAGACAGCTTTCCAATGTCTTTAAAAATAAAAGTTTTGTAATTTCCCTGGCTTTTTTATAGTCTGCAGTGAGAACAATAGACTACCATGACATACTACCTTCCCTATCAATAAGCACAATTCCTCCCAATACTTTCAAAATTGTATCTTTAATAAATGGGTCTTTTAAAAACCAAAGGCAGGTAAAGAGGAGTTACCCATGATCTACCAGTAGAAATTAAAGAGAGAGTAAAAGTTAACTTTCTAATATGGTTAAAATGCAGAGCTTTTAAACAAAAAAGATGTTCCAAAAATTTAACATTTATTGTAAGTATTAAAATGAAAGGATAAGATTTATGGTAACTAAGAGTAGTAGGTAATTATTTGAAAATTCTGCCCCAGAATATTTAGAGTGGATAGTTGTTCCTGACCTCCTGGCTACACATTTTTTTTAATGCCATATCTCCATATGCCCTCTTTTAACACATGACTATGAAAGAACCCATCAAATCAAGTTGAACACGGCAGTTTTTTTTACTCAAAAGTGGCCAGATCTAGGGACAACTTCAGAAGTAAATAGTATAAACACAATTAAGTGGGGAAGAACCATCTTTGCTTCCTTTTAGGAGACTGGAGACTATGTACTTTCCATAAAGTCCCAAATAATTTAAAATGCTGTGTAAATTTTAAAAGGGAACTAGTGGAGTAGAAAGACAAGGTAAATACTTGTCACTGAAAAAAACTTCCCAATTATCACCCTAAGAAAATAATGTGTTTGTCTAAAAATAAAATCTACGCTAGCAGCTTTATTTAGTAAGATCGATTTAAATTCAACACCTTGGCAAAGACCATCCTTAACTTAAAAATCAAAGACAACAGGTTAAAGTTTATCAATGTTTTATCAAAAGAAAAGCAGCAGGCTGGGCATGGTGGCTCACACCGATAATCCCAGCACTTTGGGAGGCCAAGGCAGGAGAATTGCTTGAGGCCAGGAGTTTAAGACCAGCTTGGGCAACATAGTGAGACCTTGTCTATACGGAAAAAAAAAAAAAAAAAAAATTAGCTGGGCATGGTGGCATGCACCTATACTCCTAGCTACTTGGGAGGCTGAGGCAGGAGGGTCGCTTGAGCCTATGAGTTCAAGGTTACAGTGAGCTATGATTGTACCACTGCACTCCAGCCTGGGCAACAGAGTAAGACTCTGCCTCTAAAAAAAACCCAACAAAAATAGAAAAGAAAAGAAACAACTAGTTTTTCTAATGATTAGGATGAAAAGAATTAGGATACTTACTGATATACTTAGAGTTTCATTCTTGTGGTCAAAATTCATTTTTCCACAATAGGCCCGCTGAGATAGTAAGTTGTCAAAGTATAATTTGCATCGTAAAGTCAAACACCTTGAAATTTAAAAATTAGGCACATTAAAAAGAGGGCAAAGGTTTTTTAAAAACTATATTCAGCATGATCTAAGCATGTGAGAAAACCAGATGGAAATATGCCAAAATGTAAACATTGGTTACTCATTTAATAGTTGAGTTTTAGGTAGTATTTTTTGCCTTGTGTCTTTATATTCATTTATGTCCCTACACTTTCACCAGTTCATTTACTTTTATAACAAAAAAATTAATGAAATGAATTAAAGAGTCATCTCACATTTAATATAACCCATTATACCACAGTCAGTGCTTAGGAATGCATCAGTCATTCAACTAATTAATAATCTAAGGCATTACCCTAATACATTATAAAGGTATCTTGTCCTTGAGAGGATTAACTGTAATGGTGACAAGATAAATGGACAAAGTATCTATTTATTTGCCTCCTTCTAACTTCACAGTAGCAAAAAAGCTAAGGGCACTCTCTTAAGCACTGGGTACCTCTAATGCCTTACACTTTGCTTGGCACAATGCAAACTCTATCTTTCCTTCTCTATATATTAGATGGCATTTTACTGTAAGGAACTTTCCCTTCTTCCTCAGTTCTTTATTTCCTTATCTAACTTTCTATTTATCAGAATAGATTAGGGAGTCTGATATTCATTGGCTTTATTTTTACATTATTCACACCATCTATTACTATCCTTATTGAGATCCTCAGACTGTCCTAGATTTTTCCAATGGGCACCCCTTCAAGCTGGATGTGTCCCCCCTTTTTTTTCTCAGCCCTTCCTTCCTCTCTGCCATAGTATGAGGCTCATCTGTACCTTCCCTGCCCAGCTCTGGAATCGCCATTTCTCCATGGAGCCCTGGTTCCTTTTAGTGGGGAATGGTATTTAGAAAATAAAATCTGCATGGTAAGTCACTGGCTGTGGTTTCATAACATCTTTGCTCCCTAGTAAACCTAAGGCTCATTTCTCTGGTACTCTTTTCCTTCCTATTTCCCTCCCTGAACTGCATTAAATTCCCACACTAGAAATCACTGATAGCCTGAGTTTCCTTCTGCTGCCACAGCAACCACTGCTAGCTGGTTTTCAGAGTTTTCTGTTAACTTTTCTTTCAATACAGATATGTATTCATTCATTGCTTCCATTCATGGGATGTCTAAAAGAGACTGTTGTCATAAAATGGCAAAGTTCTCCAGAGTAAAGACATAAACAATTTTAAAAATTAGGTCATTTTTACTCCCCTTCTAAGACTGGGTAAACAATATGAAATATGTCAGTGGTGAAGAATCATATGAAGGTAATACAGCATACTTCAGAAATACTGCAGGTTCAGTTCCAGACTACCACAAAAAAGGCGAATATTGCAATAAAGTGAGTCACACACATTTTTTGGTTTCCCACTGCATACAAAAGTTTTGTTTACACTGTTGTTGATATTTTGACTTCCTCCCATGAATCATAAATGTTCTTAATGCTATCTAGAATGATGAGTCCTTTCCAGAAGGTTTTCAATTTACTTTGCTCAGATCGATTAAAGGTATCACTACGTACAGCAGCTATGGTCTTACAAAATATATTTCTCAAATAAAAGACTTGAAAGTTAAAATTACTCCTTGATCTATGGGTTACGAATAGATGTTAGTAGGCAAGAAAACAACATTAATCTCCTTGTATATCATATCAGCTCTTGGGTGACCAGGTGTACTGTCAATGAGCAGTAACATTTTCAAAGAAATATTTTCTTCTGAGCCGTAGGACTCAATAGTGGGCTTAAAATATTCAGTAATCCATGATACTATAAACAGATGTGCTCTCATCAGGCTTTGTTTTTCCATTTGTAGAGCACATACAAAGTAGATTTAGCACAATTCTTAAGGGTCCTAGGATTTTCAGAATGGTAAATAAACATTGGCTTAAACTTAAAGTCACTAGCTTCATTTGCCTCTAATAAGAGATTTGGCCTGTCCTACAAAGCCAGGAATTGACTTCTCCTTTCCAGCTATGAAAGCCGTAGATCGTATCTTCTAATACAAGGCTGTTTTGTCTGTGTTGAAAATCCATTGTTTAGTGTAGCCACTTTCATCAGTTATCTTAGTCAGTTCTTCTGGATAATGTGCAGCTTCTACATCAGCGCTTGCTGTTTCACCTTGCACTTTTATATTACAAAGACGGCCTCTTTCCTTCAACCTCATGAACAAACCTCTGCTAGCGTCATACTTTTCTTCTGCAGCTTCCTCACCTTTCTCAGCCTTCATCGAATTGGAGAGTTAAGGCATTGCTCTGGATTAGGTTTTGACTTAAGGGAATGTTGTAGCTGCTTTGATCTTCTATCCAGACCATTGGAACTTTCTTCATATCAACAATAAGGCTGTTTAATTTTCTTATCATTAGTGTATTCACTGGAATAGCACTTTTAATTTCCTTCAAGAACTTTTCCTTTGCATTTACAACTTGGCTAACTGGCACAAGAGGTCTAGCTTTTGGCTTATCTTGGCTTTTGACATACCTTCCTCACTAAGCTTAATCATTTCTAGCTTTTGATTTAAAGTGATAGAAATCCTACTCTTCCTTTCACTTGGACACTCAGAGGTCACTGTAAGGCTATTAACTAGCCTAATTTCAATATTGCTGTGTCTCAGGGAATAGGGAGACCCAAGGGGACAGAGAGATGAGGGAATCAATAGCCAGTCAGTGGAGCAGGAAGAACACACACAACATTTGTTGATGAAGTCTGCTGTCTTATATGGGCAGTCTGTGGCACCCGAAAACAATTTGAACAGTAACAAAGATCACTGATGACAGATCACTACAACAGATTAATAATAATGAAAAAGTCTGAAATATTGCAAAAATTAAACAAAATATGACACAGAGACATAAAGGGATCATATGCTGTTGGATAAATGGTGCTGACAGACTTGGTTGAAGCAGGCTTGCCATAAACCTTCAATTTGTAAAAAATGAAATATTTGTAAAGTGCAGTAAAGTGAACTGCAGTAAAATGAGGTATGCCTGTAAACTGTAAGATCAGTACTTTAAAAAAACCTTTTAAATACAAATTTCTGAGTAATGATATAAAAATAAATCTTACTGCATCTGGAACAGATTTATGTAGTAATAGAGATTGGGTTTATTCTTCTGCCTGAAACTAAAAAACGAGACAAAATATATAAAACAAGCATTTTCAGACTCTGGCTATCTTCAGGCTCCACATCTAATTCTAGTTCTCTTGCCACTTCCACCATATCTGCAGTCACTTCCTCCACTGAATCCCTCAAGGACATCCAAGGGGGTTGAAATTAACTTCTTCCAAACTCTGAGGGTTTTCACACTCTGGCTATCAGATAGTGACTATCAGGTCATTTGACTAGAACTGCCTGCTAGTTCTAGGAAACAAATTGAACCCCACCAATGCCCCACACTGCTCTTCACCGACAGAGGACAAAGGAGTAGAAATCAAAGTGGAGCTGTTGCTCTTGTTTCAGGAGCTGGAGCTGGGAATCTGGGGAGGCAAAATAAACTCCAGAGGATCTATAAAGGGTTCTGCTCCAGTCTTGAGCTGAGTACTGGTCAGTGCATAGGTGTGAGGACACCATTTGAGGCTGGGAAAAGAAATATCCAAAGGAAATAGAAGTAATTCCGACAGCTCACACACGACCAGGAATAGTTCATGTTCTTATTGGCCAGAGTGAAAACCTTGTGATTTACAAGGTATCGGTAGAGTACTCAAAATAGCACTGCCTCAGAGGTAGGAAAAAATTAGCCCACAACCAACGGCTGCTCTAATCTCATCTAACAAGGCTAAAAGTAGCCTCAAAAGGGTAAAAATGGGTCCTATTTAATTCAAGCCCTACTAATATGCCTGTAAAACTGAAACAGGAATTTCAAAAACTAACCTGTAGTTTCACTAAGGAATATAAGAGCTAGGTACCTTTTTTTTTTTTAATTTGTACAAGCTTAAGATGGTAGAATTTTTGGTGTAAAGACAGTTTTAAAAAGTGTATTACTGAGGGAATTTGCCTGGAGAAAAACAGAGGCAAATGGAAGGACTAGGGCTGTCTCGGATTCATGTATATTAAAGGACCGTCCCTCCCTATCAATTATCCTCTGTTTATTTCTGTCACTTGTGATCAGTTGGAGTCAATCTATCTCTGTGAGTCTGTACATCTCTGGATATGTTAATATCCAGTTTCCCTAATTCTGTATTCATTTATCCAACCAATGTATATTGGTATGTATCAGGTATGATTATAGAAACTAGAGATACAGCAGTAAACAAAACAGAGTTTCTACATTCATGGAGCTACGTCATTCTAGTAGATTATGGTAAATCAACTGAGGTATTACCTTTATAGTTCCTACCAAATGCTTGTATCCATTAAAAACATGCAATAGTCAAGGGTAAAATAAGCTATTTTAGAACCAATGAGTTCCCTTTCAAAGGACCTATTTAAGCATAAAAGACCTATTAAGCATAAAGAATATCTAACAGAGTGGAAAAGTTGGATAAGCTCACCATAAAGAGCCCTTCAGATTCGGAATTGTCTGATTAAATTAGAGAATCCTAAGAACTGAATAACAAAGCAAGCATTAATAGTCTCTGCTATAACAGAATTATATAAATAATATGAAAACAGAGAAACACAAAAATGTATAATATATAGTAACATTTTTCAATGTACTTACCTTCTAAATTGTTGATATGTCTTGAATCTGTGCTCCATGATTTCTCCCAGTAATTTAATAAACTTTTTTAAAGTCCTCACTTTACTATCCAGATCAAGATAGGTCTCTCTTGCTTCTTGGTACTGCCTATTATATAAACAAAATATTACGTAAAAAATACACCACACGTAAAAAACATAACAGTAGAATCTCAAACAGATTTAACTGGGAAGAACAGGGAGGGGCAGAGAGTACTAAGGGGGCCTAGTAGCAGTCAATTTCATAAATTTCCAGGCAAATTACACTCCCAGAATGAAAGGGTGGTACGGAATAAGAAAGTGCTATCCTGACAGGGAAGGAACAAGGTCCAAGCCCTAGAGGAGGCAGAGACAGTGTGTGAACAAATGCCCTGGTACGGCCTAGAGGTGGCAGATCTTAGAGAATACTAGCAAATACACACCTTCAAAAAGGGAAGGGGTCACACTGGAAGAAAGGTTTCCTTCAGTGACAGATGCCAATAAAAGAAAAAAAGAACTCAAGCCAGCATTAGAATCCACCCTCCCCTGTCCTAAACAAGATAAGATCAAAGAGGCAGAGATGGCATGGCTACTCAGAGTGCTATTACAAAAGGCAACAGCCTATTACTGTGGCAAGCCTATAACTGAATTAGCATGAAAGGCA
The DNA here is from genome assembly GCF_000001405.40 of Homo sapiens. NCBI lineage: Eukaryota > Metazoa > Chordata > Mammalia > Primates > Hominidae > Homo > Homo sapiens. The sequence goes on from NC_000002.12 coordinate 17,684,298, forward strand.
ACCCTGGTCGAGGCTCCCACAGCTACCCTTCCCATTCTCCTTCAAATAACTGGCCCAGGAAAATTCAACTAATTAAAAAAATAAGTAACAAAAAACGCGCTGGCACAGCATCCAGATATTTATGGGGAAAATATGAAAAAGAACAGCAAAACTCTCCTACAGACAAAGAAAACTTATTAGAACAGTGTTGCCACAAAGCAGATGAAAATTATAATTGAACACCATAAATTAAAACAAAACAAGAGGCCAGTTGTATTGGCTCACACCTATAATCCCAGCACTTTGGGAGGCCAAGATGAGAGGATCGTTTGAGTCCAGGAATTAGAGACCAGCTTGGACAATATAGCAAGATTCTGTTTCTACAAATAATAAAATAAAAATTAGCCAGGTATGGTGGCATGTGCCTGTGGTCCCAGCTACTCAGGAGGGTGAGGCACAGGATCACTTGAACCCAGAAGTTCAAGGCTGCAGTGAGCCATGATTGTACCACTGCACTCCAGCCTGGGTGACAGAGCAAGAGCCTGTCTTAAAGAATAAAAACAAACAAACAAACAAACACGAACATTAGACAAGTGCTACCAGGAAGGAATACCTCAAAGCAGACATAAAAGAACTGAAAGAATAGATACACAAAAGAAGGTAATAATCAAACAAGAGGAGTAGGTAAAGCAAGAGAACCCACAGACGGGAAGGTAGGAGGGCTAGAACCTCCTCCTAAAAAGAACACACACAGATATGAAGACAAAATGAGAAGATGCATAGGAGAAAAGAGAAATGTGGAAAACACATAGATGGAAATAAAGAACATAAATGAGAAAATCAAGCAAAATGAAAAAAAAAGACAAAATGGTTAGACAAAATGATAACTAGAGAAGATATAGATATTCAACATAACTAAAGACCTCAAAAAAAAACCAAAACAATGAAACAAAATATTTTAAAGTAAAATTCAACAAATTTTTTAAGAACTAAAAGACTTAAATCTAAATATTGAAAAAGCAATGTTTAGCAATGAAAAAAATCACTGAATTCTAACATTCTGGATAAGTTACAGGACATAATAGACAAACACCAACATAAACAAGATGCTCATCAGGAGAAAAAGTATGAGCTAAGGATTTTATATTAGGTGAAACTATCCTTCAAACATAAAAGCTAAAGACAAATTCTTATCAACTTGTAAAACATAGAAAATATTCATACACACCATTCTCAAGCAAAAAAGAACAAACAACTTTTCAAATGGCTGCATAGTCATGTGGAAAAAGACAAAATCTATTCCTCACACCATACATAAAAATAAACTCCAAATAAATCACAGATATACAAAAATGGACATATAGAAGTACTAAAAAATCATAGGTAATTAGAACATGTGGAAAAAGGAATAAGAAAAAAAAATCATAGGTGAATACCTCCATAACCTAGATGTAGAGAAAAGCATTTTAACTATGACCCAAAATCCAGATGTAATCAAAGAATGACAAATTGAACTAAATAAAAATAATCTTTTCATGGCAAAAAATATAAATGCAAATTCAACAAAGAAATCAAGAGAAAAATCTGCAATATTTGGCTAATACTCCATATATATCTATATATATATATGTTAAAAACTTAAACTTTGAGGGGAAAAACACCATAGAAAAATAATTTTAAAAAAGAATAGATAATTCACAAGGTATAAAAATGATTCTTAAATATATGAAAAAATGTTGAGTTTTATTCATAATGATGGAATGTAATTAAAGTTACATTAATATACAATTTCTCAGCCATCAGACAGGCACAAATTACAAAGCGTAACTATACACTATACACTTTGTTGGCAAAGTTGGGGAAAAAGTATCCTTTCTCATACAGGTTGAGCATTCCTAATCCAAAAATTTGAAATTTGGCCAGGTACGGTATCTCACTTTGCTGCCTATAATCCCAGCACTTTGGGAGGCAAAGGCAGGAGGATCACTTGAGGTCAAGAGTTCGAGACCACCCTGGCCAACATGGTAAAACCCTGTCTCTACTAAAAATACAAAAATTAGCTGGGCATGGTGGCAGGTGCTGGTAATCCCAGCTTCTTGGGAGGGTGAGGCAGGAGAATTGCTTGAATCCAGGAGGCAGAGGTTGCAGTGAGCCAAGATTGTGCCGCAGCTCTCCAGCATGGGCAACAGAGTGAGACTCCGTCCCAAAAAGCAAGGCAAAAATCTGAAATTCAAAATACTTCAAAATCTGAAACATTTCGAGCATTGATATGATGCCAAAAGTGAAAAATTCCACACCTGACCTCATGGGACAGGTTGCAGTAAAAACGCAGGTACACAATGCAGTTTATTTATTCAGTGCCCCCAAGGGAAAAGAGACCTTCCTAGCCCCCTTCAGCTGTGATGTATCTTTTCTGTACATGTATGACATACATACATGGATATGTATGTTACATTTTTTACTAAGTACTTATGTGTGAATTAGTGTAAGAAAACGATTGCTTATATAAATTCAGAATCAGGAATGACAGTGATGTCAAACAACCACAGATTGTTTACATGGATGGCTAAGATAGTAACGTCTTCACTTTCTGATGATTCAATGTATACAAACTTTGTTCCGTGAACAAAATTATTTAAAAATTGCATAAAATTACCTTCAGGCTATGTGTATAAGGTGTATATAAAACATAAATGAATTTTTGTGTTTAGATTTGGGTCCTATCTCCAAGATATCTCATCTATATGCCAATATTCCAAAATCCAAAATACTTCTGGTTCTAGGCATTTTGGATAAGGAATACTCAACCTGTACAATGTTGGCGCAAATGCAAAAATGATACACACCCTATAGAGAAGGTTTGAAAATATCTAACAAAACCACTTACACATTTATGCTTCAAACTAGTAAAGTCACTTCTGGAAAATTACTATGAAGATACAGATTCGAGCACTTATATGATGCCACAAGTGTATCCAATAGCACACATATACATGTGTGCGTGCATGTGCAAGATAATTCACTGCAGCATTATCTGTAACTGCAAAATACTGGAAATAACCAAAATGCACACACACAGAATGACTGAATAAACTATGGTACAGATCAATGTGTGTGTGCAGACTCACAAAACAGAGTACAATGAAGCTGTAAAAAGAATGAGGAAGATCTCAATGAACTGATATGGAGTGATCTTCAGGTACATTGGTGAATGACAAAAGCAAGATGGTTGACTACCTTTTGTGAAAAAAAGTAGAGGAACCATGGAAAAAAGAAAACACATATGAACCTGCTTACTTTCACAAACAAATAAAAAACATGAAAGATAGAAAATAAAAAAGAACTGTTGCCTATAGGGAGTGGGCCAGGGGAAATGGTGTGGAAGGGATGAAAGAGGGAGAACATTTCCCTGAATATACTTTTGTTTATGGCTTTGACTTGTGAAACCATGTTAATTTCTACATATTCCCCTCAAAGAGAAATTAAATAAACAAGGATCAGAGAAAAATTGAATGTAAACAAAAACAAATAAAAGCATTTCTAAATCAAGTCAATTAATAACTACAACAATAAAGAAAAACCTAATCCAAATAACTTTAGAACAGAGTAAATTTACTAAATAGTAGAGAAAAAATAATTGCAAACACATCTTGAATGTTTTTCAATAATTTTCTTTCTGTAGATATATATTGTGGAACTGAGTAAATATTAACGTTGTTGAGAGCCAGAATTCCTCCTGTGGAGGAAAAAAAGACAGAAACAAGGAATAGGTTAAGGTTAAAAAGCCCTTTGTGGGACTGGACTGCCACTGGAGACACCAATACAAACTCACGTTTTTAATTCTGTTAACTGAAAGGTACTGGAAGAAATGCTACCCCAGCAACAATTAGCATCCCTAAAATCCAAATTTTGTTTTTAGGTATCATTCCTTAAAAAAAGGAACCAGGGCTCTTTGGAGAAGTTACTGACTCCAAGGCTGGGTCAGGTATAGAATGAGCTTGAAATATTTTGTTATGTCACAAAGTTTAAAAATGCTATTAAAAAAAAAAAAAAAACAAGAAGGAAAGCATGTTAAGAAAATGCAGGAACCAGCTTGAAGAGCCTCCATTTGACCAAAGATGGAACAATTTAAATCTTAAAATAGGCCATGCAGTGGCTCATGCCTGTAATCCCAGCACTTTGGGAGGCTGAGGTGGGAGGATCACTTGAGCCCGGGAGGGAGAGGTTGCAGTGAGCCGAGATCCTGCCACTGAACTCCAGCCTGGACAACAGAGCGAGACCCTGTCTCAGAAAAAGAAAATCTTAAGATAAACATGGACCGTAAATGACTATAGTCCATTGAGTAAAACAGAAATCTGTGGAAACTGAATGCAAATAGAAACATTTCCAAATCAAGTCAATTAATAACTGTAACAGTAGAGAGAAAAACCTAATCCAAGTAACTTTACAACACAGTAAATTTACTAAATACCAGAAAAAAAATAATTGTAAACATATCTTGCAGAGGGGATTTGGCAATAATTGCAAAGTCCATATTGCAAAGGCAAGTAAATAAATTAACAAATAGATAAATTGGAGATAACATAGGCTCTTCCTTACAAGTGACTGATAAATATGAAGGATGCAACAGAATTGAAAACTCCTCATTTTGCAAGCAGTATAGTAAAGATTCGTTCAGGTAAGAATCATTAGCAGAGGATAAATCTAGGGATGAAAATATGATGAAAAGCAGGATACTGGCAGGGTTGCAAAGTGTCTGTCTGCAGAATGTTTATTAGTTGCAAGGGAAAAAATAGTAAAGCATATAATGGAAAAACCAATTAACACCTTTACTGGGTGATCAAAATTAACATCATCAGTAAGAGAGAGAGAGAGAAATAGATAGACAGATTATGTGCCTCTGGATGTGATACCCAGAAAACGATACATCATCATTTCTGTAGCATCCTGGCCAAGAACACATATGAACCTAATTATAAGAAAAAATATCGTATAAAATCAAAACAAAGAGCATTCTGTAAAAGAGCATGACAAATGAAATACACGACCCTAGACTGCATCTGATATCGTAGGAAAGACGTGGAGAACCGTCAACATTGGAACTGGACTACAGGTATCAATGTTAAGTTTCCTGTACTTTATAACAGTATTGTGGTTATGTAAGATAATACTCTTATTCTTAGGGAATATATTGAAGTACTAAGAGGTAAAGGGTCATGATTTATGAAACCTACTTTTGAATGGTACAGAAAAAAAAGTAAAGTAATGTGAGTGTATGTATATGTGTGCATGTATACATGCTAAATATATATGGCCTTTCAATAATGTTTGAAGTTTTATGATTTTTGATAGAGCTGTCCCTCAGTATCTGCAAAGGAACTAGATCCAGGGCCCCCTGGGCAGATACCAAAATCCATGAATCCCTTTTATAAATGTCATAGTATTTGCATATAACCTATATACATCTTCCTGTATACTTTAAATCATCTCTAGAGATTACTTATAATACCTAAGACAATGTAAATGCTATGTAAATAGTTGTTACACTGTATTCTGTATTTTTTAAAAAATTTGTATTAGTTTTTACTATTGTGTTCTTTTTTTGTTGTTTTTGAGTTTTTTCCCCCAGTCTTTTCAATCTGTGGTTGGTTGAACCTGTGGATATGGAATCAGTGGATACAGAGAGCCAGCTGTATTTACAATAATGGATGCATGTCTATGGCAATTGGATCTAGGCAATTTCTCTATTCAATACATTATTAATTCCAAATGGGAAAATCCACTAGGATTAAAATTTCGTTTGAGCTCCAGTTGCTTCTTAAATCATTACTGCAATTATTTTACTTTATAACTAATAGAGAAATGTAATATGTGAGTGACTAGCAGACCATGGAATTAAAATTGATTTTGCACAGAAAAATAAATAGCTTTTGCTCAGGTTACTAAATTCACTGAATAAATTAACAATGAAAATCAGAAAGAACATCATAAAGCCACAATAACTAAAACAGTATGGTTTTTAAACAACTGCCTGTGGCCAGGTGTGGTGGCTCATGCCTGTAATCCCAGCACTTTGGGAGGCTGAGGCAGGTGATCACTTGAGGTGAGGAGTTCGAGACCTGCCTGGTCAACATGGCGAAACTCCAGCTCTACTAAAAGTACAAAAAATTAGCTGCACGTGGTGGTGCACGCCTGTAATCCCAGCTACTCAGGAGACTGAGGCAGGATAATTGCTTGAACCCAGGAGGCAGAGGTTGCAGTGAGCCAAGATTGCACCACTGCACTCCAGCCTGCAGAGGAAGACTCCATTTCAAAAAATCAAACAAACAAAAAAACCAAAAAAACAAAAAAAAACTCCCTGTGAATATATTATCACAAAATTAATTTAATTTTTAAAATCTGCATAATGTACCGAATAGACAAAAAAGTACATGAAAAGGTCATAGAAAAATAAATATAAATAAATGAAAAGATGTTCAACTTCACTCAATGTAAGAGAAACGTACATTAAAATTACGGTTAATTCTTTTTCTTGGGAAATCTATCAGAAAAAAGAATCTAAGAAGGCCACACGCTGTTTAGGCTGTAGGAAAACAGGCACTCTAACACATCGCTAATGGGAATGCAAAATTGGTACAATCCCTATAAAGGGAAATCTGACCATATGGAGTTTATACTACTAAAAAAAAAACGCTGAGTACATATAAAATAATGCGCATTCACTTATTGTGTTCCACCATTTGCAACAACAAAAGATTAGATTAAAACGCAGCTATCCATGAAAAGGAGATTATTAAATACAGTGAAATTATAAAAGACAATGAGGAAATATCTATGTACCAACATAAGAAGATCTTCAAGATATATCACTAAACCAAAACAGCAACTATTCACAATAGCCAAGATATGTAATCAACCCACATGTCCATTAATGAATGAAGAGAGAAAAATGTGTATACACACACACACACACACACACACACACCAGAATACTATTCAGCTACAAAAAAGCTATAAAAAAGCTGAATAGTATTCTGGTGTGTGTGTGTGTGTGTGTCTCTGTGTGTGTGTGTCTGTGTGTGTGTGTGTGTATACACATTTTTCTTTCTTCATTCATTAATGGACATGTGGGTTGATTACATATCTTGGCTATTGTGAATAGTTGCCGTTTTGAACCAACGACAAAAAACACATGACTCTCAATAGACGCAGAAAAGGCCTTTGACAAAATTCAACAACATTTCATGCTAAAAACTCTCAATAAATTAGGTATTGATGGGACGTATCTCAAAATAATAAGAGCTATCTATGACAAACCCACAGCCAATATCATACTGAATGGGCAAAAACTGGAAGCATTCCCTTTGAAAACTGGCACAAGACAGGGATGCCCTCTCTCACCACTCCTATTCCACATAGTGTTGGAAGTTCTGGCCAGGGCAATCAGGCAGGAGAAGGAAATAAAGGGTATTCAATTAGGAAAAGAGGAAGTCAAATTGTCCGTTTGCAGATGACATGATTGTATATCTAGAAAACCCCATCCTCTCAGCCCAAAATCTCCTTAAGCTGATAGGCAACTTCAGCAAAGTCTCAGGATACAAAATCAATATGCAAAAATCACAAGCATTCTTATACACCAGTAACAGAGAGACAAATCATGAGTGAACTCCCATTCACAATTGCTTCAAAGAGAATAAAATACCTAGGAATCCAACTTACAAGGGACGTGAAGGACCTCTTCAAGGAGAACCACAAACCACTGCTCAATGAAATAAAAGAGGATACAAACAAATAGAAGAACATTCCATGCTCATGGGTAGGAAGAATCAATATCGTGAAAATGGCCACACTGCCCAAGGTAATTTATAGATTCACTGCCATCCCCATCAAGCTACCAATGACTTTCTTCACAGAATTGGAAAAAGCTACTTTAAAGTTCATATGGAACCAAAAAAGAGCCCGCGTTGCCAAGTCAATCCTAAGCCAAAAGAACAAAGCTGGAGGCATCATGCTACCTGACTTCAAACTATACTACAAGGCTACAGTAACCAAAACAGCATGGTACTGGTACCAAAACAGAGATATAGACCAATGGAACAGAATAGAGCCCTCAGAAATAATGCCGCATATCTACAACTATCTGATTTTTGACAAACCTCACGAAAACAAGAAATGGGCGAAGGATTCCCTATTTAATAAATGGTGCTGGGAAAACTGGCTAGCCATATGTAGAAAGCTGAAACTGGATCCCTTCCTTATACCTTACACAAAAATTAATTCAAGATGGATTAAAGACTTACATGTTAGACCTAAAACCATAAAAACCCTAGAGGAAACCCTAGGCAAACCATTCAGGACATAGGCATGGGCAAGGACTTCATGTCTAAAACACCAAAAGCAATGGCAACAAAAGCCAAAATTCACAAATGGGATCTAATTAAACTAAAGAGCTTCTGCACAGCAAAAGAAACTACCATCAGAGTGAACAGGCAACCTACAGAATGGGAGAACGTTTTTGCAATCTACTCATCTGACAAAGGGCTAATATCCAGAATCTACAATGAACTCAAACAAATTTACAAGAAAAAAACAAACAACCCCATCAACAAGTGGGCGAAGGATATGAACAGACACTTCTCAAAAGAAGACATTTATGCAGCCAAAAGACGCATGAAAAAATGCTCATCATCACTGGCCATCAGAGAAATGCAAATCAAAACCACAATGAGACACCATCTCACACCAGTTAGAATGGCGATCATTAACAAGTCAGGAAACATCAGGTGCTGGAGAGGATGTAGAGAAATAGGAACACTTTTACACTGTTGATGGGGACTGTAAACTAGTTCAACCACTGTGGAAGTCAGTGTGGCGATTGCTAAGGGATCTAGAAATACCATTTGACCCAGCCATCCCATTACTGGGTGTATACTCAAAGGATTATAAAACATGCTGCTATAAAGACACATGCACATGTATGTTTATTGCGGCACTATTCACAATAGCAAAGACCTGGAACCAACCCAAATGTCCATCAATGATAGACTGGAAAATGTGGCACACATACACCATGGAATACTATGCAGCCATAAAAAATGACGAGTTCATGTCCTTTGTAGGGACATGGATGAAGCTGGAAACCATCATTCTCAGCAAACTATCACAAGGACAAAAAACCAAACACTGCATGTTCTCACTCATAGGTGGGAATTGAACAACGAGAACACATGGACACAGGAAGGGGAACATCACACACCGGGGCCGGCTGTGTGGTGGGGGGAGGGACAGCATTAGGAGATATACCTAATGTTAAATGACGAGGTAATGGGTGCAGCACACCAACATGGCACATGTATACATATGTAACAAACCTGCATGTTGTGCACATGTACCCTAAAAGTATAATAATAAAAATAAAAAATAAAAAAAAAGAATGAGGCCAGGCGTGGTGGCTCATGCCTGTAATCTCAGCACTTTGGGAGTCAGAGGCAGACAGATCATCTGAGATCAGCAGTTCAAGATCAGCCTGACCAATATGATGAAACCCGGTCTCCACTAAAAATACAAAAATTAGATGGGCGTCGTGGCATGTGCCTGTCTGTAATCCCAGCTACTCAGGAGGCTGAGACAGGAGAATCGCTTGAACCCGGGGGACAGAGGCTGCAGTGAGCCGAGATCACGCCATTGCACTCCAGCCTGGGCAAGAGGAGCAAAACTCCATCTCAAAAAAAAAAAAAAAAAAAAAAAAGAATGAAATCCTGTCATTTACAGCAACACAGATGGAACTGGAGGTCATTGTATTAAGTGAAATAAGCCAGGCACAGAACAACAAATCTTGCATATTCTCATTCATATGTGGGAGCTAAAAGAGTTGACTTCATGGAGGTAGAGTTGAATGAGGCACCAGAGGCTGCAAAGGGTGTGTGTCAGTGGGATGGGAGGGGTAATTAAAAGAGATTGGTTAATGGGTACAACCACGCAGTTAGATAGAATAAGTTCTGCTGTTTGATAGCACAGTAGGGTGACTTTAGTTAACAACAATGTAAGGAGATTTGAAATGTTCCCAACATAAAGACATAATAAATGTTCGAGGTGATGAAGATCCTAAATACTCTGATTTGATCATTACACATCGTATGTATGTATCAAAATGCCATATGTACCCCACTGGAGTATGTAATAACAACAAATTAGGTGGTCAATTAAAATTTTGACAAAATATGTTGACATACCACTAAATGCTTTTCAGAAAGACATTAATGGTAACAACTAATATACTATATTTCCCACATATTGTTTATGGATCATTTCATTTAATCTTCAGAACAATCCCCATTTTGTGAATGAGAAAATTAAAGTTCAGAGAGATAGCTAATTTGCCAAAGTCACATAAATAGGTGGTGGAAATGCAATTTAAATCAAGATACTCTTTCTTCAGAACCTGTGCTCTAATTATCAAGAGCATCTGTTTTTATCAGTAATATGAAAATATCCATTTCATTGAACCTTACTGACCTAGAATATTAGTGTTATTTTCATCCTATTCAATTTGATGTATTTGAAAAATGGCTTCTGTTTTGATTTCCATTTCTTTCATTGCTTATGAAGTTGAACATTTTCATGTCTATATGAACCTTATAGATACACGAAAGCATTTATGTTAAAATGAAATTCCATAATGAGTTTTGTAATAGTTCAGAAGAAAAAAGGTTACTATTTATTGAGAATAATACACATATAAAGGACTACTTCAGCTATAACTATTTGCTATAGTAACACTTCATTCAAATTTAAGACATGTATATGTTTTTCATTTTTTGTCTTGATGATATGCATGAATAATGTGGTAAAGCAGAAAAGCTACCAGCTACTTACCTCATTATTTCCTCTCGATCTCCATGACTAGCATGTTCTGCCTGTATCTTCTGCCTTAATCGATTAATTTCTTTGTCCAGAATTGATGCAGATTTTTCTACTTCTATACGCTCTGGGCAGATTTGTCTTGCTTGTGACATTTTCTCCTAAGAAAGTAGATGTTTATATCTTTAAAACTCTTCTTTGATATAACAATTCATTATACTACTTGTGCCAAAATCTGCAAAGTAAAATTCTGAACTCATTTTTAAGAAATGTATTTTAATTACATTTAATATCAATGTTATTTATATTTATCTAAGTTTTATATTGAAGATAAAGTCCAGAGTAATGACCTCAAGAGAAAACTGCATTGCTGTGTGTAACTAATAAGGTGCAAGATCTCCACAACTTCCTAGTGAAACAAATTTAATGCAGCAGTTACGAAAAGCTTGCTACCCAGGGCATCGAGGTGAGATGTAGGTTTCCACATCCTTTAGGGTTGACTCTGAGCACCAATGGTATTAAAAACACAAACAAAGACCCTCATGGGGTAAAGAATACAAGGCACTTTTACACATAGTACTTTTTTATATTCACAACTTTCTGTATTATTCTTAAACAAATGAGGAAAACAAGTAAGAAAATGAATTACAGAGTTTAGATCATTTTCCTTAAGATATAAATGCAAAATTGGAATCCATCTGTTCTGGTTAGGACAAGGTTGCCTTCAATTTATTCTCCTCTAAACACCGGGTCACTGCTTAGAATTGCCAATAGACATGTCTCGTAGGAGCTAAAATCTAGCCCGGCCCACAGCCCAACTACTCACTGGAAGGGGTGCCTTTTCCGGACACTCAAGGGCTATCCGCTTGCCAAGGTGGGCATCTAAGGAGCTATGTTAGCTGAAAGACAGCGCTACTTTCTAAAGCACTCAGAGGCATAATACAGGACTGTCAGAGTCTTGCCTATTTAAGTCCTCACACTCTGAGGGTCCCTAAGCCTCTTCTGTTGATTCACCCAAACACCTATTACTCTATATGAAACAGAAATTCAGACAACTTTTCTGTTTTTAGAAACATGACATTAGGGAAAACACACTTTAATAATCATGGCTAAGGCTGAAAACAAAATAACTTGAAAAAAATGGTGAAAAACCTCTAGTTCTTTCTCTTTCATATCCAGTTCTCGTTTCTTTTTATTTAAGGTATCCAAGTGTTCTTTTTGTTTTTCTTCATAATGTCGTTTCCCTCGTTTTTGGTTATCCACTTCAGAATCAGCAAGGTTTAATTCATCCTGTTTGAACAAAGCCAGAATAAAAGATTGTTTTAAAAAAATTTCCAGCATAGGTATAAAGATAATAAACAACTCGGTAAAGTGGCTAGGATTATGCTGTTTGAAGAGGCAAGTGTTATTATATCCATATGTGTCTGAATAGAAGTGAGGAGTTTCCCAAATTAGGAAGTCACATTAAATTCAAATTCTTATCTGAATTCCCCATATATTATGGTACTTTCAGTTTTATTCTAATAAACTAGGTGTTTTTGGGGGAATCCACATTAGCCTTTAAAAACTTAAAACAATGCAAGTGTTAGGTATTTACAGAGGACACCTGAAAAAGGATACCTGGTTTTAAAAAGGGTGGGTTCGGGAAAAAGCAAGGATGTGAAAAAATTTAACGCTGATTTATTTAGTCACATCTGGTATAACTTCACAATTTTGAGCATAAAATACAACTGGAAAGAAGCTATCCCAAGATCACTTTAAAAACAAACAGTAGTAGATATAAGGTAAAGATGCATACTATAATGCACGGCCACCACTGGAAAAATAAAACAAGAGGTATGGCTAAAAAACTGGGAGAAGAGATAAAGGAACACTCATAATTACTTGGTAATCTCAAAGGAAGGACATAAAGAGGGAAAGTATGAAGAACAACAAAAACAGGACAATTAAAACACAAATAGTAGCTATTACTTCATGATGAAATATAGAATGCTTTCTTTCTAAGAACAAGAGCAAGGTAAGGACTTCCAGTCTCATGGCGTCTATTCAACAATGTACTAAAGGTCAACAGTTGTTGGAGGTTCTGGATAGTTCAGTTAAAATAAAAGGAAATAGAAAGCATAACAATTAGAAAAAAAAAAGGGTAATACTGTATTTATACAAAAACAGATGATGGCACATAAATTCCAAAAGAAGAACTTCAAAACTATAAGTGAGTTTAGAAAGGTCACTGGATACAGGTCAATACAAAATTCAGTCATCTATCTATATACTAGGAATAATTGAAAAATGAATTAAAACATTTACTATACCATGAAAAACAGCCAACACATATCCAGAATATATAAAGAACTCTTACAACTCAAAAATAAAAGACTCAGAACCCAACTGTAAAACGGGCAAAGATTTAAAAAGACATTTCCCCAAAGATAAACAAATGGCCAATAAGAACATGAAAACTACCAAGAGTATTAGCCATAAGGAAAATGCAAATCAAAATCACAATGAGATACCACTTCTCACTCACTAGCATGGTTAAAATTAAAAAGGCAGAAAATAACCAGTGTTGATAAGGATGTGGAGAAATTGGGACATTCAAACACTGTTGGTGAGAACATTAAATGGTACAGTCACTTTGGAAAAGTTTCAAAGTTCTTCAAAATGAAGTGTAAGCACATAGCTTAGTAATTCCATTCCTAGGTATCTGAGACAAATGATAATACATATCTATACAAAAACTTGTACATGAATGTTCGCAGCAGCAGCACCCAAATGTCCATCAATTGATGAATGCATAAATGTGAACATGACTAGGCAATAAAAAGTAATAAAGTTCTGACACATGCTACAACCTGGATGAAACTTGAAAACATTATGCTAAGTTGAAGGAGCCAGTAACAAAAGACCACATACTATATGATTCTACTCATATGAAATATCTGGAATAGGCAATCTATAGAGATAGAAAGTAGATTTGTTTTTGCCAGGGGATGGGAACAGGAGAGAATTGGGAGTGTCTGTTAATCAGTACGGGTTTCTTTATTAGGCGATGAAAATGTTCTAAAATGGTGGAAATGGTTACACAACTCTGAATACATGAAAAATCATTGAATTATACACTTTAAATGGATAAATTTTACTGAACAATATATAAATAATGATTAGATCCTGTTGAGTTTTTCTATATCCTTGTTCATTTTTGGTATAGTTGCTCTATCAATTATTGAGGAAGTTCTATAAGATTTTGCTTCCCTTATGTTACAGCTCTAATATTTGTTGCACACATATTTAGAATTGCTATGTATTTTTGGTGGACTGAACCTTTTGTCATTACGTAATGTCCTTTTTTGTCTCTGGTAATTTTATTTTGAAGTCCACTTCATCTGATTTTAATATAGCTACTCTTGTTTTCCATTGATTATTATTTGCAAGATATACCATTTTCCATCCTTTTACTTTCAACCTGCCTATATGGCTGTATTTGAAGTGAGCTATTTATAGAGAGCATATAGTCATGTTTTAATCTACTCTGTCCATATCTGTCTTTTGTTTATTTAGACAAGTAAGTCTAAATTTAAGTCTGTCATTTTATTTGTTGTATTCTGTTGTTCATCTGTCTTCTCTTTCCTGCCCCATGTGGTTACTCCAACATACATTAAGGATTCCATCTCGATTTATCTGTAGTACGTTTTAGTGCATCTCCTTGTATAGCTTTTTTAGTAGCTGCTGTAGGTATTACATTATATACACCAAACATCACAGTCTCCTGGCATAATTATTTTACCAGTTTGAGAAGGATAGAAATCTTACCTCCCTTTTGTATCCCTTTTCTTTTCCCCATTTTAAATATAATGGTCCTAAATACCTCCTCTACATACATTTAGAATTATCTCAGATATTATAATTTTTGCTAGCCTTCTAAACATAATTTTTAAAACTCAAGAAGTAAAGTCTATTGCATTTTTTCCTATTTTTATCTCATTTTTTTTCCTTCCTGATGTTCCAAGATTCCCCCTTTTATTTTTCCTAACAAATTCTCTAAGTTTGCCTTTATCTGAGAATATCTTGAATTTTTCCTTTATTGCTTGGAAATATTTTTGGTGGACACAGGGTTGACAGGTCATTTCGCACTTGAAAAATGTGCCACTTCCATCTGGTCTCCATGGTTTCTGATGAGAAATATGCTGTCACACAAAAATCCTTTTCTATATAAGGTTTTCTCTTGCTATCTGTAAGACCTTTTCTTTAATTTCCAGAAGTTTCACTGTAATGTGTCTTATTGCAGATTACTTTGGGTTTATCTTGTTTTTGGTTTACGTACATTCTTTAATCTGTAAGTTTATGCTTTTTGCCAAATTTGGGAAGTGTTTAGCCATTACTTTTTTAAGTACTTTTTCAGTCATGCCCTCTTTTCCTTCACTTTCTAAGACTCCAACAATACAAATGTCAGCTATTCTGTTATAGTTTCACAGGTCCCTAAGATGCTGTTTGTTTGTTTCAGTCTATTTGTTTTTCTTTAGTTTATTTTTTCTCTGTTGATCAGATTTATGAGGAATAACAAGTGAATATTATGAAAAACTTCATGGTCAATTTTGTCTCAAAAAGTATGTGCTAAAAATAAAGTCAATTGAATTCAGCCTGAAACATAACTGAGATAGCTGACAAACAAGAGATGAGTAGTACTTTATTTCAAGTTGGCTTTTACAGCAACTAATCTTTGAGTTATTGAAGCAAAGCTGGGACAACAAGCAAGCACAGAGACATTGTACACGTACGAGACGTCTCTGCTCCTGGTTCTGATTTTTAAAAATCATAAAAAGGTGAAAAAAAAAAGCTATAATCCTCTAGGAGAAATGGAAATTTGGTGATTTATTCTCCTAAAGCCATGAACAGAAGTGTTTAATACTAATTGATCTAATGATGAAAGTTTGGTTCCCACCATTCTTTATATTCAATTTTTATGCTATTTACATTTAACCAAAAATTCTTTTAGGCCAATATCCATAGAGTACATGTGGATATAAAACTAAAACATAAAATACATACGTAACACAGTACCAAAAATATATACCTTAAGTGGGTCTGCTAGCTCCGATAGTTGATTAATTTTGAATTTAATTGCATCATACTTATTTTCTGCTTCTATTTTCAGACTTTTAAGATGCTCCATATTTTCTTTTTGTTGCTCCATATGTTCCTCAACCATTTTCATTTTGCTTTTATTTTCCTGAGCTTCATCTTCCTGATAAAATTTAAACAGCATATAAGGTTAATTAAAATACTTTAAGTTTTCAAATAGAAGAAACATAAAAATAATTCTGAGAGAGGAGAAACTATAGGCTATATGCAAATCAGATCAAATACAAATAGAACACTAGAATATTTTTATACTCTTAATGGTAAATTAGGAAGTAGAGGAAAACAAGCTGAAAAATCAGAAGGGATGATATTTAGGAGACAATATTCTGCTTAAGATCATAATCAAAAAGAATGACTTTCATTCTATTCATTTTTTCCAAACTATACAATATATATCTTGTGCCAGAGAATATGTTAGATGCTAAGTAAACAAACATAAATAAGATATTATCCATATGTTTAAGAAATTTAGTTGGCCAGGTGCAGTGGCTCATGCGTGTAATCCCAGCACTTTGGGAGGCCGACACGGGTGGATCACCTAAGGACAGGAGTTTGAGACCAGCCTGACCAACAGGGTGAAAGCCTGTCTTTACTAAATAAAAAATTAGCCGGGTGTGGTGGTACATGCCTGTGTAATCCCAGCTACTTGGGAGGTTGAGGCAGGAGAATTGCTTGAACCCAGGAGGCAGAGGTTGCAGTGAGCCAAGATTGCACCACTGCACTTCAGCCTGGGCAACAAGAGTGATACTCCGTCTCAAAATAATAATAATAATAATAATAATAATAATAATAATACAAAAATTTAGTCTATCAAAAAAAGGAATTAAAGCAGAAAAATAAAAAGCAGAAAGTGAAAAGACTACTAGTAAAAAATGGAGACAAATTCTAATCAGGGTAAAGCTTCACTAGCACTGAGACTTATTCCATTTTGCGCACTGCTGTATTCCTTAGCAGTTAATATGCTTCCTGATACAGAGCAGACACTCGATAAATATTTATTCACTTTAACACAACTGTGCCATTTATCTAATTCACTGTTTACTGCAACTCAGAAAAAGCTAAGTGTCATAAACAGATTCCCGAAAAAAAGATTACAGTAAAAAATGCGTTGATTTAAAATGAAAAATACTGATTTGAAAAAAAGAAAAAAAACAAGACACCAACTAGAACTGACTAAAAGATGATCCTGACATCTGTGCCCATTCATATTGATACTGCTGAACTCTGAGAGTGCCTATGTGAAAAACACTATGCTCAACAGCAGGGTTTGATGGGCCCTTGTTTAGAAATACAATTAAGTTTTGGTAAAGTTTTTTTCCATGTGATAGGAGACAAAATCAATTATTATGCATGAAAGTTATATATACACAAAACATTAAAAAATATGAAGGCTGTATACCAGGTAGTTTTTACCTTCTTGGTGAATGGAGACAGCAATCATAAAGAGTAGCTTCAATTAAAAGAACTTTCTAAAAAAGCTGAGTTGATGCCATTAACCTAAATGGTGGCTTTACCCTTTAATATTACATTTAAATTGAAAAAAAGTATTTTACCAAAGTTGCAATATCTACAGACTGGTGTTCTTCTATGTTCTCAAGTTCCCGAATTTCAGAAATATTTTTTCTTATTTTCATCTAAAAGAAAAGTATTTGGATTTTAGTAACATAAAAAAAAATTTAAACCGAAAACCTTGGAAAGGATTCATTAATCTACAAAGCTCTATAATGATGATACAGAAGGATTCCATAATTAATGAAAGGGGTACATTAGTATTAAATCAACCAAAGGAAATTACGTATAAATTCTGCCATATCATTCTTATATACTAATCCATTCCCATGCAAAAGAGATGTAAGTAATCCATCTTAGCATTTTAAATGATGGCACTGTTGAGTCCAACGAGAAAAATTTTTCTGAAACATCCAAAGTCTCAAGTTATGGAATGATTATTCTAATCCAGTGGTTTTCAAAATATGATCCAAGTAAGCTGTGGGGGTTTCTGATATCCTTCAGATGGTCTGTGAAGCCAAAACTATTTTCATAAAAACAATTAGACATTATTTGCCACTTTTATTAGCATTTTCTCATGAGTATATATAAAGTTTATAAATATATGATTTGTAATACCACAACAGACTGAATGCAAAAACTGATATAACTATTTAATTGAATTTTATTAAACTTGGACATCAGATACTTAAAAAATATTCCAATCTTCTCACAAAATCTTTTTGGTTTCAAAGCTTTGTTTTTTTAAATAAAAAATATTTCTGTTAACTAAGTTTATTACTATTTTTAAATGAATTGATATGGTTTGGCTGTGTCCCTACCCAGATCTCACCTTGAATTTAAGTTCCCATAATCCCATGTGTTGTGGGAGGGACCTGATGGGAGATAATTGAACCATGGAGGCAGCTTCCCCCCTACTGTTCTTGTGGTAGTGAGTAAGTCTCATGAGATTTGATGGTTTTATAAGGCGTTTCCCCTTTTGCTTGGCTCTCTTTCTCTCATGGCTGCCGCCACGTAAGATGTGCCTTTTGCCTTCCGCCATGATTGTGAGGCCTCCCCAACCATGTGAAACTCTCAGTCCATTAAACCTCTTTTTCTTTATTAATTACCCAGTCTTGGGTACGTCTTTATCAGCAGTGTGAAAACAGACTAATACATGAATTAATAAATATTCTTAAATTTTGTTTTAATTTTTAAAAATGTAAACGTTGACAGATATACCCACATAAATGAAAGCTCTTTGATGAGTGTAAAGGGGCTTGAGGCCAAAAGGTTTGAGAATTGCTTGGAGTCAATAATGGGATCTTAAAATCAACTTCGTAGTAGTAAGTTGAAAAAAACAAAAGAAGGTTTATTATTATTATTTTTTTACCTTTAGTTCTTTATAATGTAGTTGGCACCTTTTAAGAAGTTCCTCATTGTGTTTAATATCTTTTTCAAGGGCAGATAAATGTTGCTGAAGATTTAATATCTGGGCCGTCTTATTTTCAACCTCATTCTCCAAGTCACTTGATAGGAAAGGAGAAGATAGAAAATACTTTAAATCTTTTTCTCAATATTACAAATACTTTAGACCTTTACAAAGAAAGCCTTATTTATAGTAAGTTATGTGCAAAATCCTTTTCAGTTAAACCAGTTCTATAATCCTACCAAGCTATTAATCATGAAAATCTATTGCAGACATTTCAAAAAACATTCTAAACAGGAATCAAGTTTTACTTATTTCCTTAACAAGTAGAGTTGACTCTTGAACAATGCAGGGTTTGAAATATGTGGGTCCACTTATACACAGATTTTCTTCTGCCTCTGCCGCCCCTGAGACAGTAAGACCAACCACTCCTTTTCCTCAGCTTATTCAATGTGAAGACAATAAGGATAAAGACCTTAATGATGATCTACTTTTATTTAATTAATAGTAAATATATTTTCTCTTCCTTATGATTTTAACATACTCTTTTCTGTAGCTAACTGTATTGTAAGAATATATGACATACTGTATGGTATCATATACTGTATTTGTAGTATATTGTATAATATACTGTACTGTATATACTGTATTATAAGAATACAGTACATAATACCTATAACATCTAAAATATATATTAATCGGCTATTTATATTATCAGTAAGGCTTCCAGTCAACAGTAGGCTATTAAGTTTTTGGGGAGTTAAAAGTTATATAGACTTTGACTGCATTGGGGGTCAGTGCCCCTAACCTCTGCACTGTTCAAGGGTCAAATATACTTATGACTTATGTGTGCCAGTATTATGCATAGTGGTAGACAGAAGTAGAAACAGAATTAAGATGTAACTCCAAAAAAAAAAAACCAGGAAATAAACTATCACATTAAAATGTGAACAGGACACTAGATTATATATCCATAGTACTACAGGAGCATAAGAGTTAATCTGGGAGAAGAGATAACTGAATCGTATTCTCTAAATTTTTCATCAGCTGGACCAACTAGGGGAGAAGATAAAAAGAAATACAAAAAGGCACAGAGAGTGATTAAAACAGATAAAACTAATAGCTTAATACTTCTGTTGGTGAATAAACGCAACAAATGTGTGAGTAGTGAAGGGGAAGAAGAGGACGACAATAAGAAGATATGGAGAATAAATAAAGTACCAGATTCCAAATTCATAAAAATGAGTCTCCATACAGCAGAGTCAACTGGCTTCAGAACTGATCTTTTCCTCACTAATCCAAGTATCTGTCTTCCAAAGCTTTGTGCTTGGTGGAAGAGAACTACCTTTGCAGTTAAGAACAACTTTTCCCTGGTCTGGGGGATATTCCCTGGAGCTGGCCATATTCCACTAAGATGAATATTTCTCCACATTTTAACATCTCTGAAATCTGAAACCATTTTGCAGTTTGTGGTTCAATTAGCATTTATTTCCTTTTTACTGGTACATAAAATAATAGTATATACAACATTTACTGGTATGTAAAACAACTGTGCTACCTTGCTAGAATTTTTAAATTACAAAAAAAGGCTCAATAAATGTTAGCTGAATAAATGATAAAAATGTGGAAAGGAAGAGAATAGCGCAATTTCTGATAAAAATGGGGCCAGGTGCAAAAATTTAATATGGGTCCTCAGGATTTAATAGGAAATATTTATTTTATCATATATAAACCTAAACTTTTATTAACAAATAGTAATTTTGCTAAAAAAAAAAAAATTGCAGCTGGGCACGGTGGCTCACGCCTCTAATCTCAGCACTTTGGGAGGCTGAGGTGGGCAGATCACTTGAGGTCAGGAGTTCGAGACCAGCCTGATCAATATGGTGAAACCTTGTCTCTACCAAAAAGTGCAGAAATTAGCCGGGTGTGGTGGCACGTGCCTGTAGTCCCAGCTTCTCGGGAGGCTGAGGCAGGAAAATAGCTTGAACCCAGGAGGTGGAGGTTGCAGTGAGCCAAGATTGCACCACTGCACTCCAGCCTGATCGACAGAGTGAGACCCTGTCTCAAAAAAATAAAATTAAAATTAAAAAAATAAATTGCCAGGCTGGGTGCGGTGGCTTACCCCTGTAATCTCAGCACTTTAGGAGGTGGAGGTGGGTAGACCACTTGAAGCCAGGAGTTTGAGACCAGCCTTGTCAATATGGTGAAACCCTGTCTCCACAAACATTAGTTGGGCATGGTGGCACTTGCCTGTACTCCCAGGTACTCAGGTGGCTGAGGCACAGGAATCACTTGAACACCGGAGGCAGAGGCTGCAGTGAGCCAAGATCCTGCCACTGCACTCTAGCCTAGGTGACAGAGTGAGACCCTGTCTCAAAAAAACAAAAAAAATTGCCAAGTAAACAAACTTCGGAAACTACAGCCTAAGCCAAAAATGAAAACCAACAAAATAAGCAAGACAATATTGTCATTATACAATTTTTCTGAACATATAGAATAAATTTAAGCAATCAATGTAACTTTAATAAAACTAATAAATTTTACAACTTTGTTTTTACTGGGTAAAACTAATTCCTATACATTTTCATACAGTGTTCCTCCTTAGTTTTTTTTACTGAGTTTTTACATAGAGAACATGTTACCTAATGAAAAATATATTAAGCCTGAGCTGAGTATGTGAGTTGTTTGTGTGGGATGAATACATCTTTCCTGACAGCCTATCTAAAATAGTATACTCGTCACTCTCTTGCCCCACACTATGCTTTATTTGTCTCCACAGCACTGATCACCACCTAACCTAGTATTCATTTATAGTCTATCTTCCCCTAAATTTAAGATCCAGTAGAGAAATTTTGTATATTAATACTTTGTTTCCTGATGTGTCTTGTGCCTTGATTAGTGCCTGGAGTATTAGATACCCATTAAGTATTTGTTGTTTGAAAGAACAAATAAAAGAATAAAATTTTAAAGAGCATACTTCTGAAGATTAGATTAAAATGTTATAGCATTTTAACAATTCAAAAATTCACAGGTAATTTTTTTTATGAACCACGCTGGTAATCATTCTAAGGGTTTGCTTCCACATTATGTATACTTTTGTAACTGAAAACTGCATTGAGATAATAAACAAAAGCAAGTGCCAGAACACCAAGGTGCTAGTCATTCAACTTTTTCTATTGCTAATTGTTTTACTAAACTTTCCAACATCCATTATGGTTATTTTCCTTTATTCTGCTCTCATAATCACATAAAAATGACTAGAAGAAATCTATTTCAACAAAACTCTCATTTCCCCTACACATACAAGTCATTTATAATTCTTTTTTTTTTTTCCTGCTCAGTTGTCTTAGATATTTCTTTTACTTAAGTCCTAAGTTCTTCTACTGAAGATCTTCTAAGTCATTAATTCAGGCCCAAACCATCAATTCATCAACTGAATGAATTCAGTTAAGAAATCATGGGGTTGTTTTTTGATACCAAAATTTCTTTTTGCATGCTCATGAATCTCTTAATAGTTTTTCGTTTAACTTCTCAATTTGTCTATTCTAGTAGCTGTATTTTCCTAGGCATGTGTTCTAATCATGTCAGTTGATCTTCTTTCTAGAACTGTGCACCTCAAAGTACCAATCAGGGACATTATAAGGAGCTTGAGCCAGAATGTAAACCAGTCTGCTGTATCCTCTCTGAGACAAATAGGCAAAACTAAACAGTGAGCACAGTGATGTAGCTGATTTACATTGAGTCAAGCTCCTATCTCCTTGAGGACAAGTAACAAATAGTGTACAAATGATCCAGTTGAGGGAATACGTTCTGGATTATCAGTCCTGAATGACGTTGTTAAAGTGATGATGCAAGATAACTGTCAACCTCGAATTCTATGACTAGCTAAGTGATGTTTTAAGACCAAGCACTGAGATAGATTACTCACGTCCTCACTGAAACAACCACTAAAAGAGTAATATGAAAGAAAATGAACCCCCAAGGAAGCAGTGGGAATGATACAGTAAAGCTAAACTTGACTCTAACCTTATTTCAGAATCCACATCTCTGCTTAGGAACTTAGGTCTTGTATTTTCAGATGAATAATAACGTCCTGCAAAAACTTGATCACCATCAGCAGTAAAAGCTTCTCTACAATTTTTGGGTGGCTTTTGGGACTGCATTACTGCACGAGCTACAGAATTATTCTAAAAGAATAGAAGAAAATAAATTTTTTAAGACGATGTGAAAATTTTTCTGATGTACAGAATTTCAAAATGTTACTCGTCCTTATTATTTTAATATGATTCAAGTATTCTTTTTAAAACATTCAAATAATTTCATAAAGTTAAATATAAGAATTTTAAAAACTTTCAAGGTTAGAAGAATGAAAACTATTTAAAAAGTCTTAAAACAGTTTAGTAAACAATGCTTCATGACAAATTGGTGTATATTTATTTTTAAATTCACATATTGCTATCTATTTAAAAGTTAAAACTATTCTAAGTGCTTTTTAATGTGAAAATATAGACTTTAGACCAGTTCATAGTAATTATTTTTTCTAAATGACTTTTATACCCTAGAAAAGATATGAATGAATAGCAAATTCCAATAAAAGATTAACATACTGAAATATGTAGGGAAAGTCTGGAAATATTTAAGCCCTGGAGGAAGTAAAAGAAGATTAGATTAATTAAGGCCTAATCAACCTCTCTGGGGACAGACCTTTACAACAACGCTTCATTATTTTTTTTCAAGTACCATTCTAAAATATGAGTAGAACCCACAAATAATTACAATATGAACATATGTATATGTATATATATACACACACACACACACACACACACACACATTTGAGTTATCTAGACCCTTCTTAGCATCTATCAATGAGAAAAAAGACTTTTGTCTTGATTACAGATTTGTTTTAAATAACGAGACAATATAAATCACCTTGTCCCTTCTCAGCAAATTTATGCCAACAGAGGAAACAAAATATGGTGATCTAATCTAACAAGCACATAAAAACACCTACACAGATAAATAGTAAATATTGATTTATCTAACAGAGTACAAAGTTATATGAAAAAGAAGTCATAAGATATCAAGCAAAATATTTCATTTAAGTAGAATAATACAGATATCTGTAAGGGCAAATAAAAAATAAATTTGGCAGCCAAACAAAAATGAACAAAAAAAGTTATAGCACCATGCACCAAAAGAATAATATGCATTTGTGAAATGATTTTATAAAGAACAGCTGAAAATTATAAAGTTCCATGGGGCAGAAAACGTACAAATCAACCAGTTTCTATATTATCCTACAGATTTTCCTATCAGGTAAAAGTACAATAGTGAAACACATCAGCAACTCTATGATAAAAGGGGAATAGGAATTTATATAATTATCTTCAGTTTTAAAAATTTAACAATAACATCAAATACAGCAAAGATCTGGAGGTCTTACTTTGATTAGTAGCACTGTCTCTATGCCTCTCATGTCAATTAGGCTATTTGCCACAACCGCATTATCTATTTCTAAAGCTGTCAGAACTGTTGGAAAGTCTGGATGATAAGCAGCTCTAGGAGACAAAAATACAGAAGGATTAACTTAGCAAATTTTAATTATAAATATATACATATGAAAATTGTGTATATATATATAAGAGTATATATATTTCCATATATATTTGTAATGGGGGAAATTATAAATAACAAGACAATATCAAATATCTGGTAACATTTGAAAACATAGCTGTATAGGTTTATTTATTTAGCATTTATATAATACTATGTGCTAGGCACTGTTATAAGCATGTTACAAATATTAGCTCATTCAATCCTCATAACAACCACATAAGATAAATAGTATTATTCTCTCCACATTTTTTTCAGATAAGGATGCTTCAGAGAGTTGAGTATGTTCCCCAACGTCATGAAGCTACTTATGTAACTGGGCTAGGATTTAACCCAGGCAGCTCAGCTCTAGAGTCCAGATTCTTAATCAATATGCCCTGCTGCCTACTATAATTAATAATTACAATTTCCTTAAATCTCATACAGTTATCATACATAAGTCAATTATTTAAAATTCATTATAAATAGCTAAACAATCTTTTCCCTGATATGAGAAAAGAAAAACTGAAGTAAAGTTTATTACCAACACAGAGGAAATATGAAAGAAAAGATATTCTTATGAATTGTAATTTGGGCTCATGAAAGAGACAATCTTTCAACTAAAATGTAAACATGTGAGCTATCAATAGCACTGAAAAATGAACATACTAAGAATAGGAGGTACAGGAGCAATGAATGGCTGAGGAGGAAAAGATGGTGGTAGCATTCTTAGTGCTTTCCTAGTCCTAGAATTCCAAAACAAAGTATCTTTGCATACATGTTTTATACCTATTCATCCATTAATTCAACACATATTTAGTGAGCACCTACTCTGTGCCAGGTGCTGTTCCAGAGGATAAAGGGAGCAGTATACAAAACAGACTACACCCTGTTCATGGAGCTTACATTTTTTTGAAGGAAGACAGAGAATAAAGAAAAAGAAGGGAAGGCAGCTTATGGTGCTTTTTTACACACACAAAAAAAGACGAGAAAAAGCCTCACTAAGGTAACACTGGGCAGATACCTGAGGAAATGATATAGTCACATAAGTAACCTTAGAAGACCATTTCAGACAGAGGGAAGAGCAATCGCAAAGACCCTAAAAGGTGTGTCAGAGAAGCAAGGAGACAGATTGCCACAGTAGGCAGATCAGGGAGGGAAGTGTTTCCAGAGACAGGATAAGAAAGATGGTGAGAGGACAGATCATCCAGGCCTAGAGGTCACAGTCAGCCCTGTGATAAGGAAAACAGCAAAGTTTAGAGTCCTTTGAGCAGAGGCACAACATGACCTGACTTTACGTTGGCTGCTGTACTGAGACTGTGGTGCCAAGTAACCAGAAGCAGGGAGATCAGCCTGTGCAATTCTCAAGGGAAACATGATGATGGCGTGAGCCAGTAGAGTCACCACACAAGTGGTCAGATCTTGGATATATTTCTGAAGTACAGCCAGTAGGATGTGGGGTAGCAGAAAGGAGTCAAGAATGACTCTGCAATAGAGAAATGAAGATGGAGAAGATTACTGAAAGTGCAGGTTTTGGGGTGGAAATCGGGAGTATGGCTTTCAGACATGGTAAGTTTGAAATGCTTATTGGGCATCTAAGTGAAAAATATATATTAAGTATATTATATTATAGAGTTCAGAAGAAAAAGGCAACCTACAAACACAGTTTCAGTCATCAATGTATGATCTGTAAAGCCATGCAATCAGATGAGTTCACCTAGGGAGAAGTGCATACCAAGAAGAGTTCTGGAGCACTGGTACAGTCAGCTGTGAGGAGGAAGAAGCAAAAGATACCAAAAACGAACACCTAGAGAATTAGGAAAATGAGAAGAGTGAGGTCCTTGGGCCAAGTGAAAAAGTGTTTCAGGAAGAATGAAAGGATCAAGGGCAAATACTGCCAGTAAGTAAAATTAGTGAAGAGTAATGACTTTGAGTCAATTGAGTTAAGCGAAGTGAGGCTTGCTGATGCCTTGATAAGAGCTGTTTTGGTATGTGGTGAAATTATAAAGTCTAACTGGAGAAGGTTCAAGAAAGAAGGTAGAAAGAAATTAGAGAAACAGACAACTCCTTTGAGTTTTTCCTGAAAAGGGAAGCAGAGAAAAGTGACAGTAGCAGGTAAATGGCTTTTTAGGACAGAGTTCAGGTGGAAAAAAAACAAGGATAAGAAAGAATAGGGTATGGGTGCTCTAGAAACGTCAGGCAGTCAATGAAACAAAGTACGGAACAAGGAGATAAAGAAAGGGAGTAGGAGTCTAAGAGGGGAGGACGTGGTAGGCAGTTCTGGTGAAATGTAGACTCTCGCTAGCCTGTTGAGAGCACAGGTTTTGACACTAGGAAGGAGTCACCATTTTCGGGCAGCCAAAGGCCATCATTACATGAAGCTGTTACTACCAGTTTCCTCTAAAGCGCCAAGTCACAACTACCTCTTCCTTTTGCTATTCGTCCCTGGGATTTACCTCATACTGGCTTATATTACAATTAATAGTATGTTGAGGGAGGATACAATATTAGTCTAGCAGAGCCAAAAGTAGAAAGGAATATAAGTAATGAGATGTTGGTGACAGGGGACAAGGAGAAGATAATAGGACACAGGTTCACAAACAATGTTAAGCAGAAAGTCTAAACAAAACATACTGACAAAGGAAAAAGTGCACAGAAAATCTAGTCAAGTATAATAGGCCTCACTGGTAAGCGGAGTTACAGGACAAAATGATTTTTTTTCATCCTAATTATACTTAAATCATTTGATAAAAAGATGTGATTTCTAAAGTCAAGTAAAAGGAAAAACACCACTAAGTTAAAATATAGGAAAAAAACATGATTAAAATTTGGTGTATTTTTATTTTATTTTTTTGAGACAGGACCTCCCTCTGTCACCTGGAGTGCAGTGGCACGATCACAGCCCACTGCAGCCTTGACTTCCAGGGCTCCAGTGATCCTCCCACCTCAGGCTCCTGAGTAGCTGGGACCACAGGCACATAGCACCATGCTCAGTTTATTTTTGTATCTTAGGTAGAAACGGCGTTTCACCACATTACCCAGGCTGGTCTTAAATGCCTGGGATCAAATGATCCACGCGATTCGGCCTCCCAAAGTGCTGGGATTACAGGTGTGAGCCACCGTGACTGGTCTAAATTTGGTGTATTTTTAATTTCTCCAAATATAAGAAGATATAAAGTGAGAAGTTATAACAGACTATGAAGAGAGCTGTGCGGAGCACCAGAAGGAGATGAAGAAAAGCCCATAAAATAGGCTGAGAAACACCTAAAGAGTATGAGAACCAAGAAAATGGTGTCATAGTAACAAAAGGAATATGAAGTTTGAAGGAAGGTGTATTTAATAGTATCTAATGCTTGAGAGAAGGTAAATATCAACCGGATTCGGCAACAAGGAAATAACTGGAGAATGCAATTAACATTTAGGAACCAAGAGTGGTAAGTCTATGAGTGAATGCAGTCTCCCCTAGGAGAGGTGTATTTTTAAAAGAAACGCAAATCAGAGACCTATCATGTTTAAAACAGAGAGAAAATTTAACAGGAAAGTTTAAGGCTCAGGAGAGGGCTGAAATAATTTTTTTAAATGGTTAATAGAGTCAGGCAAGAAAGTATGTGATTCAAGGCACAAGTAGACTAGCCTCAGACAGAAAGAATCTCTCTTGAGATGGGGGCAAGATGTACAAATGCAGGCATAATAGCAGGAGTAGTAGTTTAGTAGCTTCTATGTCCTTCTGAAAAGAAGAAACAAGACCATCTTTACAGGAAAGGAAAGCACATTTTCTGAATACTCCTTACGAGCTAGGCATCTTCCTAGGTACCTCTGTTAAGGTTATCTAGCGTAAGCCTAAATGACTGAAATGAGTCCTATGTATCTGATGCATTATAATACCCTAATAATATTTTACTATTATTTTCCACATTAAAATAATATAGCCAGTTTTTAAATTTAGCATTTGAACCATAATTCATACCGAAAAATTTCTTCAAACACAGAAAAAAATCACCCCTTCAAAATGTTTACAAGGCAGGTAAAGTTAACAGAATGTTAGACATACTCAAGACTCTTGTCAATATCCTGTCAACACCCAAAAGGATTAGAATCTAGTTTCTTCCACAACTCCAACAACTTGTGTTTCAGCTACCTGCTCCTGAAGCCAAAACATGGACTTTGTCATCCCCTAGACCTGTTCCATTCAACTTGAATTTCTCACTCTTACCACAACCTCCTATCCTTCCAGACTTATCATGCATTTAAGCATATTCTCTAACTTCACTGAGGTGGGTCTAAACACTTTCTCGTAGGCCTCTCTTTCTTTAAACTAGTTTGTCAACAAAACACTCAACTGCTTCCCTTTTCCCTTTCTGCAGTACCTACCCACTCTAAAAAACTCTAATGTTTATCTAACAGTACAGACTCTCCCTCCACTCACATCTCTAAAGAAACATTATTAGTGAAAAATCCTGCAGCCACTAGGCTTTTGTATCTTAAGCAGACTTCGAGTCAGCTTCCTCTCTCATTCTCCTTGGTAGCCAATCTAAACCCTTAAAGAAGGTACCTCCTAGCAACTCCTGAGGCCCTTGTTCTCAGCACATAAACTCACCTACTTCCAAGAAAACTGGCATTATGACACATACACTGGATCCTTTGTCACATGTGTTTCGTGGCTAAGTGATTAGAAGCACAGGCTGGGACACACAATGTGCCAGCAAGGCAGTGCCAGGCACTCTTCTTCAGAGTCTTTGTGTCAGTTCACAGAGCAGGCCCCACCAGAATGGCCAGGACTATTCTCTTTGGTCCTAAAATGACAGTTCAGATTCAAGAAGGACATTCCTCACAACTGATGGCATCCTTCAGCTAGTCACTCTAACCAGAAACCTAGGAGTCATCCTGATTTTTCCTTCTCTTGCATTCAATTAACAAATTTTATTGATTTTGCCCAAATCTCTGTGCTATCTGTTTCTTCCTATCAAAAATGCAAATGCTATTTTTTGCAGAATAACTCCCAATGTCATGCTTCCACGCATTTTGCACACAGAATTCTATTTGCCTACAAGGCAATTAACTTTTTCTATCACTTGACAAACTCATCAGTTAAAAGACTGATGATTTCTCAACTCCTCTCTGAATTCTTCCTTGATCTACCTATTAACATGAGTTAATTACACACACTAATTTACCAAATATGAGAGACATAGCACTAGACTTAATTAAAAAGAAGGTTTATTTTAAAAAGTGGAGATGGGAGAGAAAAGAAATTTTAAAATGTCATCTGGGAATAGATATATACATTCATTTTTTGTTTTTTTTGTTTTTTTTTTTTTTGAGACACAGTCTCATTCTTCACCCAAGCTGGAGTGCAGTGGCATGACCTTGGCTCGCTGTATCACTACAACCTCCACCTCCTAGGCTCAAGCGATTCTCCCACCTCAGCCTTCCAAGTAGCTGGGACCACAGGCACACACGACCAAGCCTGGCTATTTTTTTGTATTTTTGGTAGACAGGTCTCCCCAAGTTGCCCAGGCTCGTCTTGAACTCCTGAGCTCAAGCAATCTGCCCGCCTTGGCCTACCAAAGTGCTGGGATTACAGGCATGAGCCCCTGTGCCTGGCCTACATTCATTTTTAAAGTATTAGCCAGTAGTTAGCAAAGAAGCCAGTTTGGGTACTGAGCTCCCTTGAAAAGACTTGTTAAGGTCATCAAAGAACACAATTACTGCTCTTCACGGATTCTGTGAAACACCTTCAGAATTTAACTGTGTGTAATGGGTGCCAATGTTCTTCCTCAGGCCCCTCCCTCTTAAATTGGTCATATCATTTTCCTCACTGGTGTAATTTCTAAGCCATACTACATCTGTTTCCCTGTAATGTCTCCCACATATAAGAACTTCAATGGTAGGGAGTATTTATCTATGTTTCTCTAATGCCCAGAACTAATACCTAGACAGAAATTAAAGTGGCTTGATGAAATTTTACAAATCAGTGGTAAAGATATGATTAACATTAAAAGTGTTTTAACTCTTTCCAATCTTGCATATGATTAAGCAAAGCCAGAAACATATTCAATTACTAATGCCTTACCTGTGTCTTACATCATATATCTCATTCCGAAACTCAGAAACTATTATCGGTGGCCGTGAGGTCCCTGGTAAATAAAACCTTTTCATGAGTGCCTGAAGGACCCTTTCATCAGCATGATTATGGCAACAATAGGCCTGCAGAAGCCCTTTTAAGCAAGATTCAATAGCCAAAGCAAGTTCTGGGTCCCGAAGATGAATGCAAGCTCCTAAAAGTGAGAGAAAATTACAGAAGGGCTCATAAATACTTATTTTGAAATATTAACATCCTCCTCTTTAATTATAGCATATAAATGACTTATATTTTTATATAAAGCAGTTTAAATGACTTTACAGATCATTTAATCATAGTTTATAAATGATTTAACATACTTTTATATAAAGCAGTTTAAATAATATTTTAACTGAATGGGAAATCCCCTATACCCATAGGATACAATGGAGAGAAAATCCACCAAATCCTGTGAAAAAAATTGTCCCACTCTAATGTAAATCAACGGTGGCTTTTCTATGTTCAGTTTATACTATTCTAGCCTTCCAATGGGGTTCTGAAAATCAAACGATTTTCAAAGTCCTTAATGGGATGCGAAAAAAAAAAGCCTCATCCTTTGAAATGGATCCTGGTATAAAGGTATGTATCATTTAAAAGAGATATTACTACAATACTTAAATGCAATACTTTACTAACAAAATATATTTATAAGCATTTTCACCTAATGATTTTCAGAATTAAAGATAACCCCCCAAGAACACGTGACTAAAAAAAATTTTTTAAGTACCATGTATATGTAAGAGTGAAGTAACCACAGATTTTACAGTTGGAAGAGAACTTAGAAATCATGCTGCCCAACCAAAATAGAAACTAAGAAAGAAAAGTCATTTTAAAAAGATTACCAAAATTCAGTTAACTGCTCCTTCAACTATATCTTGATGTTACTGGTTTTTTCTGAATAATCAATTATATTACATTAGTTCATTTACTTATTCATTCATTTATTCAGAAAAACAAGAATCAAATCATTCAACTCTATGATTACTTTTCCTTTTCCAAAGTTCTCTTTCTTTCGGATATTTTATGCTTTAAAAATATAAAACGAAAGCTACAAAGCTTTATATAATTTCATTATTTTAAATGAAATCATTTTATTTCGAAAACTTCATTCAATCGTTCTGAAAATAAAAACTTATTTCTAAAGTTTATTATAACCTCGCTAAATTAAGACAAATACCTAAAGGGCCTACAGGTTTATAGGTAAAATGTCCTTGTCTATAAGCATCATCTATGGCTTCAAGAAGAGCTGGAACATTAGGGCCAAATCTTTTGAGTCGATCAGTTTTACTATCTTTCAATTCTTTCAGTTGCCTCTGATTGTAGCTCAGTGCATGCTTCACATCTAATTCTTCTCTCCTAAAAAACAAAAGCAGAAAAACAGAACATATATGTGATAGTTTTACAGAAACATTTAACCTTTGCCCATAACACCTACATCCCAGTGAACGACCCAGCTAGCTACCCTAAAAACCAAAAGCAGAATTATTTATTTGAAAATAATTGTGTTACCAGAGAAAAACAGTCTGGAGTCCTCAAAACTTGGCATAAAAAAAGTAATGCAACAATGATGGGCTAGGAATCCCAGAAATTGTTCAACTCTACAACTATAAGAAAAGTCTTGAAAAGTGATTTTAAAAGATCCAGCTGGCTGTAGGTGCACTGCCAATGAGTTAGCCCTGCTCTGCAAAGTATTTAACATAAAAATAAAATCTTTTTAAAAAGATCCCTTATTATGTAGAAGAAACAACCATATTTGCTCTCTTCATACAAGAACAAAACTATATGATGTAAAAGTAATTGAAAAAAATCATTCTAAGGATGTTGCAACTTACTTAATTTTGCCATGTTCTTCTTTGTCCTTTTCTATGGCTTGCTGAAACTGTTCGATCTCTTGATTGACTGAATTTTCTTGATTTTGAAAGGCCTTTACTCTCTCTTTTAACCAAGATATTTTTTTTTGTCTTTCCAACCGTTCAGGTTCCAAAGATTGGTCAGTACTAACAGTAAATAACCCAAAGTGAAAAATGTTAGTTCAATGAACAGCCTAACATTTAAAGAACACAAACCGATGTAATAAAATTCCATTAACAACAATACATAAAATATAATACTCCAATGCATCTACCTTACTTTATTACAAAATGGGATAGCCATGAAAATTTCAAAGTAACTACCCTACCTTTTTTTCAGCTCTTCAATTCGTTTACAAAGCTGCTCATCATCTTTCTTTAATGCTTTATATTCGTTTAAGGATCGGTTATATAAAACCTAACCAAAAAAATTAGACACACTTTACAAAAATGAAAACACAAATATCCCATTCACGTCCACTTTTGTCAAATCTTCAGAGGCTGAATATATACAGGAATATATTTTTTAAATGAAGCACAAAATGGCCATTTGAAACCATTACATTTTTTAAAATCTCAAAGCATCACTAATTTCAACTCAGGTACAAAATCTCTACTTTAAAAAATAGAAGGCCAGGTGCTGTGGCTCACGCCTGTAATCCCAGCACTTTGGGAGGCCAAGGTGGGCGGATCACGAGGTCAGGAGATCTAGACCACCCTGGCTAACATGGTGAAACCCCGTCTCTACTAAAAATACGAAAAATTAGCTGGGCGTGGTGGCACGCCCCTATAGTCCCAGGTACTCAGGAGACTGAGGCAGGAAAATCGCTTAAACCCAGGAGGCAGAGGTTGCAGTGAGCTGAGATTGCGCCACTGCACTCCAGCCTGGGTGACAGGGTGAGACTCTGTCTCAGAAAAATAATAATTAAAAAAATAGAAGAGGCTGGGTGCAGAGGTTCACACATGTAATCCCAGCACTTTGGGAGGCTGAGGCAGGTAAATCACTTGAGGCCAAGAGTTCAAGACCAGCCTGGATATTGTGGTGAAATCCTGTCTCTACAAGAAATACAAAAAAATTTAGCCAGCTGTGGTGACAGATGTCTGTAGTCCCAGCTACTCAGGTGGCCGAGGTGGGAGGATAGCGTGTGCCCAGGAGATAAGAGGCTACAGTGAGCCGTGATGGCGCCATAGCACTCCAGCCTGGGTGACAGAGCAAGACTATTTCAAAAAAAATAAAATATAATAAAAAAGGATAGAAGAACAGCCTTTATATTTGCTGTGTGGCTTTTAAAATTCCAGTTTAGAAAATTTATCTCACCTCAGCTTCATTATAGGCCCTTTTCTTAGCAACAACATCTGCTTTCAATGCCATACATTCTGGTGCTCGTGCATTTGTCTCTTCACTAATCTTTTCTAGTTTGTCTTGAATATCCTTGTACTTTTGTTCTGCCTCATTAAGTCTGACCTTTAAGAAAATAACATTATTGAAGTATATTTTTTCTTCAATAGAGAGAATTTTAAAAAATAATTATCTATAGTTCATATACCAATAATAAATTTAACTTCACTCAAGACATCAGGCAAATAAACATAACATAACATTATATAAAATACTATAATATAATTTGATCTTAACCCACAGTTAGTTATCCAACAAATGTGTTATCCTCTTGGGATACAAAGACATGATAACAAATGTCCTCAGATAACACAAAAGAGAGAGATATAATTTAGCAGAAAAACAGAACACAAACTGATGATACATTCTGTATACAATAATACTAAAGTAGGGTACATTTATTTTTAATTGTGGTAGCACAGAGAAACAAACCAGAGGTTGGCCAGAAAAAGTCAGGAATGCCTTCAAAGAGCAAGTAGTATTTTGAGCTGAGATTTTAAAAATTAATCTAAGTGTACCAGGAAATAAGTTGAGGAAGGTGTTAGAGGCAGATGAAAGAGCATGTACAAAGGTATTAATACTTTAGAAATTAAATATTGCTAGAGCTTAAATTGAAAGGATAATGGCAGGAGACGAGATGAAGGGGTAGAAGGGCCTCGCATTCTACAATGAACAGCTTACAACTTAATCTTCTTGACAACAGGAAGACGACCTAAGTCTGTCTCTTATCTCCTAAGTCTGCATGTTAGATTACTCTGGAAGCACTTGGAACACAGGGTAGACAGAAAAATCAAAGGAAAAGATTTCAGTAAGAAGTTAATATATTATGGAACAAAGACAATTAGGGACCAAACTGGGATGCTGGCAATAGGGACTGATTAGAAGGAACAAATATGAGAACTATTTCGATCGGGGTCAGCAAACCTTTCTACAAGGAGCTAGATAGTGCACACTTCAGGCTTTGTGGGCCACATGGTCTCTCCTAAAACAATTCAACTCTGCCATTAAAACATGAAAGCACCCAAGGACAATGAGTAGAGGAATTGTTTTTTTAATAAAAATGAAAGCTGGATCCAGGTTTTATATAAACTAAACATAATTCATATTATTTTTCAGTTTTAAATTAACAAAAGTTTAAAGTCTGCTTTAGACACTGTTTCTTCAGAAACCTTCCATTTAACAGTCATTCTACAAGCAATAATCAAGCACACACAATGTGAAAGGCTTTATGTAAGACAAGGTGGTAAGGATATAAAGATAAAATAAGATAGTCTTTACCCTCCAGAAATTTGCCAATTACAACATAGAGTATGCAAATGCTTAAACGGAGAAAAAGGCCTACAAAAGTAAACATAACCTAGCCTTATGATCCTCCTTTCCCATTTAAAAAAGAGGTGAGCATCTATTACGCAGACTGGATTCCATTTTAGACTGGGAAATGCTTGAGGAGGAAAGTATTTAAGGCCTTACCTGATGATAAGCTGAGAATTGAGGGTGAGAAGAGAAAAATACTTGGTGAAAATTTCAGAATATTCTTTCAGAAATGAAAATTTAAGGTGAGAGGTGGAAAGGGTTGAAATTCCACTTACTGCCTGAAGAGGGAGTAAGAAACTTAGCCCAGAAATCGCTAAGTGTCCTATCTTTACCTATTTTTACATACTCATATATTACCTCTGATGAATTAATGTCATAACCCTTAAAAGAAAAAAAAGATCAATCTGCTTATCTTGGAGGCAGACAGGAAAAAGCAAGCTAGGAAAGATTACATTCTATACCACAGCCAAGCTTGGGGGCCAGAAAGAAATTTCCTAAGCAAAGTAGAGAAAATGCTAAGAGGTAAGTAAGCTACACTGGCACATTGAGTACATTTGCGGGGGAAGGGGAGTAAAGAAGGAAAAAACTAGGAGTTCTACTTCTGGCATTACAGCATGAGGAGCCCCACAGTTCTGGCTGCTCAACCTTGTGAGTATACTAAAACCCAGTGAATTATACACTTTAAATGGGTGAATTATGTGGTATATGAATGATATCTCAATAAAGCTGTTCAAAACAGAAAGAGTGAGTATAAAGAGTGGATCTGCTGAATGTTAAAGGGTCCACATGGAAAGCCTCAACAGAGAATGACTGCCTTTACTCAACACTCAACTTCTGTAACCTCTAGGCCCGTGTGGAAGACTTTTATGACTTTCTTGAATTTTAGATAGGGTAGTTTCTACCTGCACTCTTAGATGTCAGGCTGAAATTAACCTTAACAGACCTAACAATGAATCCTACTTGCCTTCCATCTATATGAAATCCTCTGACATGCCATCTTGGTTCTGGACCATAAATCTCAGTTCCCTTAGCAATCTCTGGGCATTGTTTTCAGTTCTGAGTTCTCATACTTTCTGATACTTACCTTTAATGTGGTTCTAATTTATATTATTCTAGCACCCCTTTATTTCTCAGGTCTTTTTGTGTTTCAACTCCTTAATGAACCAAAGAGTAAAAGCTTCATGCTCTTCTTCTATGTCTTGTCAGTAACAAAGTTCCACTGACAATATGCATGAGTTCTAGAGCCCTAGCCTCTGACAGGTTTATCAAGGATAGAGTACTCTTTTCAAAAGAGAGTCACCACAACAGGCCTTGAAAACAAGCTTAGGTCTATTTCACCTAAGCAATCAATTCAAATATAGACAAATATACTGTCTGAAACTGATGGTTTGGTGGGTCATAAATAGTCTAATATCTGTAATTTCATATGATTCAACCTATTAAATCTGCATTTAAAAACTGTAATTACCTGCTGTTCTTCCATTTTCCTGTCAAGTCTAGCAGCACGATCTTCTCCAATTTTGATATTATCTCTGATGGCATTCAATTGTTTTTCAATTTCATTGACCTAAGAAAGAAATTATATAGCAAATTGATCAGATTAACAATAATAACCAAATACATTCTGCATATCACATAGATACGTGAACAAGTAATTAAGTGATAATTACCACTGCCCAAGCCATTTCATGTTTCAAGGACTCTAAATTAGTCTTCATTGTACTTAAACCAGCAATACTTTGAAAACGTTCCTCTTTCTCTACACACTGGCGCTTTAGTTCAGTAAGCCGCTTAAAAAAAGAAAACAGAACGGACGTATTTTTTATTAATGTTGAAAAAACACATTTTTGCAAATCTATTTCTTTTAAAAACAATGCCTAAACAAGTACTACATAAATATTCGTTTAAAAATAACTTCTATTTTTTAAAATTATTCTTGATTCTTTGGTATACTTTTAGTAAGTCCAATAATTTTGTGAATTTCTGCACTATAAAAATGGCCAAATACTCTTCAGATGAAGAGCAAAGGAATTAAAGGTTCAAGACTACACAAATATAGAGAAATCCCAAAACTCACTTTCCCATTTTCCCTCTTTATTCCCTATCTGATAGACATGATGGTCTGTTCCTCAAAGCAGAGTCAATAGGCATTCCAAAGAGAATGTAAGGATGAGAAGAAATTTATTTCTGAAAATCAAACAAGTTATAATTTTCTTAACTAAGTTCACTTTTTTTTTTTTTTTGAGACAGAGTCTCACTCTGTTACCAGGCTGGAGTGCAGTGGCACAATCTCGGCTCACTGCAACCTCCACCTCCCAGGTTCAAGCGATTCTCCTGCCTCAGCCTCCCAAGTAGCTGGGACTACAGGCATGCACCACCACACCCAGCTAATTTTTGTATTTTTGGTAGAGACGGGGTTTCATCATGTTAGCCAGGAACTGAGTTCACGTTTAATAATTAATTAAAAATATCAAATACTGTGATATTCAAACAATTTCTGTAGCTTATGGACTTCATATTCTGTCCACCTGGGTAGACAGCCTCTACCCTTCATCCATGCTTACCAAATTCAACTTGGGCCTGAACACTGTAGACCTTACTTTGTTTCCCTATCTAATGCACTTTCCCATTTTCAAAATTCTTTCAATCTATTATCATTCTCTTCAAACCTCATACACCTCATACACCCTGCCACCATATTCCCTCATTCATTCCCTCTCTCCAGCTTAGACAATTAGAAGCCATCAGACAGAAACTCCCTCAACAATCTACAAATCTAAAGCAGCCATCCCTTCCTTTTGCAACAAGAGAGGTGGCCTCATATTTAAGACCCATACCATCCTCTACCTATATCTTGGATTCTACCCCTTTTCTATCTTCTCAAAGGTCTAAATCCACTGATTTTCCATCACATCTTTTCATCTTTGTTTCCACTTTACCCTCTTCATGACTCATGTTCATCCCTACTTGCTCATCTTTCCAACTTAACAAACAAAACCACCAATACCCATCCCTTGGCACCACCTCCTCCTCTAAAATTCTTCTTCCCTTTCTATCCAGGTTTCATGAAAATTGTCTCTATCTCCTCCATCTCCTCACATTTTCCAGTTCCACATATCTGGCTGTTTTCACTGCTACTGAAACCCACCTTGCCATAGTCATCTATGAAGATTATGTCATTAAATACAGTGAGTTTTGTCAATTCATGTAGTGTCGGACCACATGGTATATCTCACAGTCATGACTGGTTCCTTCTCAAAATCTCTCTGCCCTTGGCTTCTCATGGCTTCTATGAGAATTTCTCACGGTTCAGGCCTGGGCCCACTTTTCCCCTATCTCAGCAATCTAAATTATTATTTTGGCTTATATACTAATAGCACACTGACAACTCCCAAATTTTTATTGAGACCAGACTTACTTCTGTATTCTTAATTTACATATCCAACTTCCCACTTCACATTTCCACTTGGATGCTTTTATTATAAGCACCTCAAAATTAATGTGTTCAAAATATAATTCAGCTTTCTTAAAAAAAAAAAAAAGAAAAGAAAGGAAAAAAAAAGAAAAACTGGCTTTTCTTCCCAAACTTCCTATCTCAATAAACTTACTGTACTACTAAAGTAATTAATCTGGAGGTCATTCAGTCACCTTTGATGCCTCTGTCTTAACTTTACTTCTCCATGTCCACTACAACATCTGCCTAGATCATTTCAAAGTTCTCTCTCTTACTACTACCAATATCCTTAACTTAAGCCATCATCATCTCTTTGGACAATGATAATGCCTTCTTAATCAATCTTTCCACATCTCTTCTCTCCTTATAGCAGTTCATTCTCTTGTACAGCAGAGTAATCTACCGAAAATACACAATTAATGAAGTCATCCATTTTCATGTCTTCTACTGCCCCCTAAATTTTATAAGGTCCTCCACAACCTGGCCTCTCATCTCTCACACCTGTGTTTTACACTCTAGCCAATCTGGAATTCTTCCAGTTTTTTAAAAGCACACATGCTTTCTTGCCCCTGAGGCTTTAACCATGCTATCTCTTAGAACATCCTTCCTTGCTTTCACCATCCTTTGCCTGGTATCCTTCAGTTTTCTTCTTAGGCATCACTTCCTTAATAACTCCCCCATCATGACTGTCCCTGACACTGCCAGTACCCTATTAAGTGCTGTTGTCTAGTCTACATCTCTTTTAGTAGTCCTCACGATACTCAAATTATTTACCATCTATGTTTTCTGCTGAATAATTAGGTCTATGATCCCAAGAATCCTATTTATCTGTCACTATATGACCATGGCCAAAGCACAATGCTACAAGGCACATGATAAGAACTTAATATTGACTGAATGATTATTCTAGTTTCTAGCCTTTACATGCTATTTCTTAAAGATTTAATTATTCAAACCCAGAGTTTATTTTGAGAATACAGGGTATTTCACCAATTAAGAGAAAAGTTCTTATTGAGTGCATATTATGCATCAGGAATTCTCCTACATAATTTAGGGAAGTGCTCCTTATACTTCATAATTACAATATCTTTAATTGTTACTGGTATACTTTGTATACCATGGAGAAAATAAGTGTTTAATCCCAAGTGTCTGAAACAAACAAATTTATTTCAAGTCCTGATTAATTATATTAAAAATAATAAATGTAATATATAGTAGGTACAGTTTGTTTGAATATACAAATATTTCCCTTCCCCAATAACAACACTG
Organism: Homo sapiens; assembly: GCF_000001405.40. Lineage (NCBI taxonomy): Eukaryota > Metazoa > Chordata > Mammalia > Primates > Hominidae > Homo > Homo sapiens. The sequence goes on from NC_000002.12 coordinate 17,724,195, forward strand.
ACATTCCAAGAAAGTGTGCTTTAGTATTTTTGTGGTTTATAGTAACTCCTTAAACACCACCACATAACCCAGGTTTGAAAGGATAATGTGGGAAATAAAAATAAATATACTCATCCTTGATTTTTGAGTTTTCATTTAATGAACCACCTAACTATAGACCTAACTTAAAATATGTATTCCTCAAAAATGTGAAGTAAAAAGGTCAGTATAACATAATGAATTTGACTTTAATCATTAGTATAATCCTGCCTCAAAAGGACAAGCTACAAAGTTGATGAAAACTCAATTGGTTATATAAAACTAACAAATGAACAAGATATGGAATTACATAAAGTTGGTGGGACTTAATATGCTGGATAAACAGCTATAATGTAAGCCTTAAAATTTTGAGGTCTCTGATTATCACACAGAAAGTTGGATCTTCAGGAATCTGAAGAAAGTATAAGAACAAAATATAACAGATTTAAAAACAAATTGAAGTAAGTCATGGCTGGCATGAGTGATTTAAAGCGCAAGCAAATTTGCAAGCTGCCAAGCCTGGTGAGTAAGGATGTCATAGCTGCTACTAACCTACCAGTTGCTTAAGGAATGTTAACATTTTACTAGAGTTATAATTACTATGATTTGTAGATTACGGTATATAATTATAAATGCATACTATGTTTAAAAACAGCTTGAAGCTTGTGCTTATTATCCCAGCAGAAGAAATATTGCAGTTTTTAAACTACTTATAGGTTTTAAACTACTTAAACTACCATACCTTATTGTGGAACCCATTAGTCATACTATCAGAGGATAAGTATGTAAGATACTGCCCTGTTCTCTATCTTATAATCTAATAGAGAAAGTAAGACATGTACACAGTCATTATTACAAAATAAAAAAGTAATAGCTAATTAATACCCGGAATATAAACACTACATTGCATATACTTCAGAGTGCTATAAAAATATTACTAGTTTTATATAAATATACAGACACATAGTTTTACAATATCATTTACTGTAAGTACTATAAGAATTTGGCTGATCTCAAAAAGATTTACATTAACTGTTTACAAACCTCTTCTCCTTGATGTATCTGCTCCTTTGTTCTTTCTTTCGTTTCCATAATGTATGAATAATCTTCCTTCATCTGTTCAAGTTGCGTTGCTTTCATGAAGAACTATTATCAATAACAAAAAAAAACGCAATTAGGAGTTTGTAAACTTCCATAGAACTGTTAAAAAGAAAAAGAAAAATTTAGTTTCTGAAAACTTTTAGATCAATGATGTAAAAAGACATTAAAAACGTAAGCAATCACACAAACACAAAAGAATACATCATATTTCAGATTCAAATTGACTGAACCTACTATGCTCACATCCACATGTTCATTTGCAAAAGCTCTTAAAACCCCATGAAAGAAAACACTTCAGGGTGTGGTAATAAGCTCATTTTCACTAATTCCATTCTTTAAGCAAAAACAGCTGAAAAGACTGGCATCGTTGGTCTTAGTACATCTTAAATTTTTAGAGTAAGAAATACCAAAACTCACTCAAAAGGCTACACAGAATATTTAGCAGTATAGTCAAGTATTTTGTTAGTTTTTAAAATTTTTAATAGTTTAAGATTTACAGCACAGTGGCTCACACCGGTAATCCCAGCACTTTGGTAGGCCAAAGCAGGTGGATCACTTGAGGCCAGGATTTTGAGACCAGCCTGGCCAAACTGGTGAAACCCCATCTCTACTAAAAATACAAAAATTAGCTAGACATGCTGTCACATGCTTGTAACCCCAGCTCCTTGGGAGGCTGAGGCACGAAAATCACTTAAACCTGAGGGGTGGAGGCTGCAGTGAGCCGAGATTGCACCACTGCACTCTATCCTGGAAGACAGAGCAAGGCTCTGTCTTAAAAAAAAAAAAAAAAAAAAAAAAAAAGATTTACAAGTTATTATGTATGTAGGAGCAACTGTTACCCTGTATTTCCTTAAAGATTAAGAATTAAAAGCCAAAAAGTAAAAACAAAGATTTAAAAAAATTATACTCCCATCTTACTTAACAATTTCCTAATCTAGGAAATTGAATTACTTTAAATAGATGGCTTTAAGGAAAAAAAAAACTCAGCCTCCATTATGTGAGCAATAATATTGTTTACAATATGCCTAAAGGTATTCTTTTTAAATGGGTTTATATTTACTTTGGTGCCACTTACTTTGTATTTGTCTCCTTCATTTTTAGACTGTAAGAACTGCTTGCTCATTTCTTGTGTTAAAACAGAAACTGGATTATCCACCTCAAACAAACAAAAAGTCATTTTTGAATATTTTACTTTAATGCTTTAAAGATAGGTAAAAACTGAAACATACATTACAAGTGACCTATGGTGCCATCAGGAAGGCCAAGCAATAGCCAAAGGTTATAACGTTAGGATAAAAATACTAAAAAAAAGTTAGAAATGTATAATGCAGGAAAAATAATTTAAAATTTCATTATACCAACATATATGGTATAGTTAACATTCAATATTCTACCAGTACATGAGGGCACAAGCATAAGAACCCTGTGAAAAAGTGTTTTTATTATAAAGTTTTTCACTTCTTACCTGCTGTATAGAATATCACCCTCATGCCACTGGTTAATCATGGGACAGCAGAATGGGAAGAGTCCTAGCATGGTAAGGAGTCAGTCACCTCGGGTTCTTGTTTGAGCTCTGTTGCTAACTTCCTATGTAGCCTTGGATAAGTCAGTTACTCCAACTAAACACAGTCCAACTCAGTTATTTCTAATGAGAATCATGACAACAAGTATTGTCTATTTTTCTTACAGAAGTTCTTCATATTATTCCTTCATGAGGATATTGTAAAACAAATGAAAATAATGAAGTCATTTCTATCTTTTGGAAACTAGTCATTGCTTGAATGAAACTACCTTTGCCTAACGTGATGGTTATTACTGAGTGTAAACCTGATTGGATTGAAGGATGCAAAGTATTGATTCTGGGTGTGTTCCCGAGGGTATTGCCAAAGGAGACTAACATTTCAGTCAGTGGGCTGGGAAAGGCAGATCCATCCTTAATCTGGATGGGCACCATCTAATTGGCTGCCAGTGTGGTTGGAATATAAAGCAGGCGGAAAAAACGTGAAAAGACTAGACTGGCCTAGCCTCCCAACCTACATCTTTCTCCAAAACTGTATGCTTCCTGCTCTCAAACATTAGACTCCAAGTTCTTCAAGTTTTGGGACTTGGACTGGCTCTCCTTGCTCCTCAGCTTACAGACAGCCTATTGTGGGACCTTGTGATCATGTGAGTTAATATTTAAAACTCCTCTTTATATATATATATATATATATACACACACACACATATATGTAAAATCTCCTATTAATTCTGTTCCTCTAGAGAACCCTGACTAATACACCTAACAAGTTAAGATATCAAAGTACAATTGGAAAAGTATAGAAAAAATACAACTTTTTTCAAAAAGATTCAGGGTCATTACTCAATTACTAACAAATCAGTTTACATGTTAAAAATAATCTTCATAAGGTTATTGTATAAATGAAAAACACTTTAAACCCTTCATGTTCACTGTCTACAAAATAAATATTGTGTAATTTGTTGGTATACCAATGGTTAAAACATTTCTCTCAAGTACGATGTTGGGCCTCTCTTCAAGATAATAAAAAACATTTATGTAGTTATAAACAAAACTTTACATGTGACATGTTTCTTATTATATAGACCAGACTCCATCTGCCATATATTTTTTCACAAAGCCCCCCCAGCTCTTCATTTCATACTGCATCTGACTTCTTAATAGACCTAATGCAGTAGTAGCTCTAATAACAAACATCTTAACATCAACTTTCAATTAAAAGCTTCACCGAAGTTTATATTCATTTCTCTATACCTTTTTCATTGTTTTTGAAATGGAGTTCCTACTTGTTATACTCCTCTTGGGATTATTTAAGAATCTTGGCCAGGCACAGTGGTTCATACCTATAATCTCAGCACTTTGGGAGGCTGAGGCAGGTGGACTGCTTGAGTCCAGGAGTTCAAGACCAGCCTAGGCAACATGGTGAAACCCCGTCTCTACAAAAAGTACAAAAATTAGCCGGGTGTAATGGTACCCGCCTGTAGTACCAGCTCTCAGGAGGCTGAGGTGGAGGATCACTTGAGCCTGAGAGGTGGAGGTTGCAGGGAGTCGTGATCATGCTGCTGCATTCCAGCCTGGGCGACAGAGTGAGACCCTGTCCCAAGGCTCATGCCAGCACTTTGGGAGGCCAAGGCCGAGGTGTGAGGATCACTTGAGGCCAGGAGTTCAAGACTAGCCTGGGCAACATGGCAAAACCCAGTCTCTAAAATCAAACCAAAAAAAAAAAGAATGTTGTAGCTTTATCTGTCAGAATCCTAAGAAAAGCAAAAAGCAAAAACTGGTAAACTTCAGCAAGAGGATAAGAAACGGAGGCACAGAAGACAAATATGATCAGACACTTAAAGATATTAAATATCCCCTTCCCTCCTGGTTATGCTAGACCAACAATGTCCAAGAAAAATATACGCCAAGTCACACACAATTTTTTTTTTTTTGAAACAGGGTCTCGCTGTGTCACCCAGGCTGGAGTGCAGTGGCGTGATCTCAGCTCACTGCAACCTCTGCCTCCTGGGTTCAAACAATTCTCTCACATCAGCCTCCTGAGTAGCTGGGGCTAAAGGCATGTGCCACCATGCCTGCCTAATTTTTGTGTTTTTTTGTAGAGACAGGGTTTCACCATGTTGGCCAGCCTGGTCTTGAACTCCTGACCTCATGTGATCCACCCGTCTCAGCCTCCCAAAGTGTGGGGATAACAGATGTGAGCCACTGCACCCAGCCCACACAAACAATTTTAAATGTACTAGTAGCCACACTAAAAATATAGAGAAATAGGTGAAATTTAATAACATATTTTTAATCAAATATAACCAAAATATTATCATTGTAACATGTAATCAATATAAAAAACTAAGTTATTCCTTTATATTAAGTTTTCAAAATCTGCTGGGTATTTCACATTACTGCATATCTCAATTTGAGCTACCCACTCTTCAAGTGCTCCACACAGCTCTAGACTTTCTGCATTTTAAACAATGAACCTGAATCTTTTGTTATGCATTAAGTAAACCATGCAAGAAAAGGACTAGGAATCTTTAAATATTTCAACAGAGAATAACATGTTTTACATTCCCCAAGGAAGTGAGAGCTTACAGAAATAGGCTTTTTTCAATTTTCCTCATAATGAAAACTTTCTAATAAATACAGCTGTCCACAGAAGAAGGAAGAAGCCTTGGACAGAGGTGATTACCCCACCATTATCCTTTCAAGCACTTGCACAAGAAAACCTGGTGGAGATTCTACACAGGGTAAATACAGAGTACTTATACAGTATACTGAATGCCCCTCAAGATTCTCCCAACACCCATGATTCCTCAACTCTAACTTTTGGTTTTCCTGATTCTAATAAATTGTCCTGCATTCTAGTCTGAAATTTATTTGCTGTACCTGCTTTTCTCTAGATTTTAAGAATTATTTTTCCTAAACTTGTACTGTCTGATATGCAGCAGGCACATTTGCTACGTGTGGCTTTTTCTACTTACAAAAAAACCATTAAAAATTCAATTTCTTAGTCACAATTTCAAGTTAGTCAAGAACCACATGTGGCTAGTGGTTACCCCACTGAATAGCATAGATACAGGACACTTCCACCATCACAGAAAGTTCTGTACCCTCTGTTCTAAACCAAACTGGAAAAGAGACCCAGACCCCTAATTGTTCTTTTTATTTGATGGCAAGTCTTGGTGTTCTTAATTCTGTAACGAGGCAGTATTGCACAATGGATAGAACAGTAGAATGAAACAGGATGCCTGGATCCCAAATCCAGGTTCTACCAGTAACCACGTCTAGACAGCCTTAAGTATAAATTTATTTTTTGTGGCTCCCAGTTTCTCATCTACAAAACAAACAGCCTGGATTAGGTGTCTTCTAAAGGTAATTCTTGTGTAAATGTTTATAGAACTACATGTACCCTATTATCAATTAATTCAGCCAAAGTATCTCAGCAGAAAGGACTAAGCCTTGGCCCCTACAAGTGTGATCAATAGCTCCAAAATAGAGAAATGCTTTATCTTTCTAGAATAAATTTTCTTTAAGAATTTAGCAACTTTAGAAACTAAACACTCATCCAGAAAAAAAAAAAAAAAGGAGTTTAGCAACTGAGTTTAGGGAACAATGATGCTATTTTGACTAGGACAGCAAAAAGCAAAGAAACCTGACATCCTTATTAAGATAAATTTTAGCCTAGAGCAGTATAGACTAAATGCTCTTGACTGGTCTATCAAATTAAAGGTGTTATATTATGTATTGACAGTCCTGTGTTGAATTAATAAATTCTTTTTTTTTTTTTTTTGAGATGGAGTTTCACTCTTGTTGCCCAGGCTGGAGTGCAGTGGCACAATCTTGGCTCACCGCAACCTCTGCCTCCTGGGTTCAAGTGATTCTCCTGCCTCAGCCTCCCAAGTAGCTAGGATTACAGGCGCCCGCCACCACACCCAGCTAATTTTTTTTTTTTTTTTGTATTTTTAGTAGAGATGGGGTTTCACCATGTTGGCCAGGCTGGCCTTGAACTCCTGACCTCAGGTGATCCACCCGCCTTGGTCTCCCAAAGTGGTGGGATTACAGGTGTGAGCCACCATACCCGGCCGAATTAGTAAATTTTAAACAACTTCATTGATAATAGTTACACATATGCTTCCTGTGGTCAGTTTACTCATATGAGGCCATTTAAATTTTTTCTACACAAGTGAAATCGCACTAAAAAAATGACAAGGTGTATGAATTAATCTGAAACACAAATTCACCAATTACCTGGATGTTAAAATGATCAAGAATTGCAATCAGCTCTTCTTTCCTCGTGGAAACCACGGAGCCTAGTTATAAGAAACATATGAAATAACCAAACTGTTTCTAGGGCATAACACAGAAAAAATGTATAGTTACTTACAAAATATAAATATTAGTTAGCTTTCATTGCATCATCAAGAAAGGTACCATTGAATACGTACAAATATGAATGAACATGGCACAAGTACAGAGGAAGAAAAAGTACCCACATGCAATAATGGTGCTTATCTTGTTCCCACAGCTAAACATATTTTGCTCCTTATCTATCTCTTTTTAAAAACTAAATGCTCACCTCTTCTTTTATGTCATTTTGCACCTTTTGCTAACCATTTATTTCCACATGCTATAAAAACCCTGGTGTGATAGGAAGTCTGTAGGTGAAAACAAAATAGCACAACTTGTTTCAAATAATCCCCAATTCTGCTAATCATGCTTTTGGTGCTATAATATCCTGGGGTAAAACAACCATGTGTAACATATGCACGTGTGTGTGTGTGTGTGTATATATATATGCACACAACCAATCATGTTACAAGGAAGATAGTTCAATCAATACCAGCAGTCATCTAATTCTTTTTGAGTATTTCCTAATATTTTATAAGAAATGAAAAGAGAATCAAAACAAACCTGTTGCACTTTTAAGTTTATAAGATCGACTTCCATCTATGCTGATGTGTTGCTGTATAAGTATAGAGTTACCATACACACTGGCTTTAAAGGCATCATCTCCTCTGTTCCTCAATGTTATTGAGATATCTGCAGAGCTGAAAGAATGAGGTTGAGCTAAGTTACATGAAGATACAGTGTAATTACAATACTAGGTTGCCACAGTTTTCAAATTTTTCAAAACCACCAAATAATTTGGCCAATTCATTTGCAAATTAGATTTACATCAACAGCTGACACTGATTGTTCACTACAGCATAACGTTAACGATACTGTGCCTAACAAAAAAATAAAGTTGAGAATAAGTGAAGCTTCAAAAAAATAATTGACTGACTATTCTATCCATCATAGAAATAGCACATCTGCACAAAAACCATTAAGTTTCGGTTGTTTCAAGACATGTAGATAAGTTATACATTTTCCTATAAAAATCATGTAATCAAAATTATACTGCCTGACTACTGTAAGTTATATAAAGCATCATGCTTGACAGTAGGCCTTTAAAGAATGATGAAGTAAGAATTATGGTAAAGTAGTTAACATTTTCAAAGGGGATTAGAATTAAAAAAGGTAATTTTAATTTTTCAATTACTTGGCAATAAAAAATAAAACCATTTGATATCAAGAAGTGTAACTAGGCAGGGTACAGTGGCTCACACCTGTAATCCCAGCACTCTGCGAGGCCAAGGTGGATGGATCACTTGAGGTCAGGAGTTCGACACCAGCCTGGCCAACACGGTGAAACCCCATCTCTACAAAAAATACAAAAATTAGCCGGGCATGGTAGTGCATGCCTGTAATCCCAGCTACTCGGGAGGCTGAGCCAGGAGAATCGCTTGAACCCAGGAGGCAGAGGTTGCAGTGAGCTGAGATCGTGCCATTGCACTCCAGCCTGGGCGACAGAGAGAGACTCGGTCTCAAAAAAAAAAAAGAAAAAAGAAACTAAAGCCCAAAATTTCTTAAAGCTTTACTGGCATTAAAAAGACATATTTTAAAATAGTACAATGCAGCTAAACACACATATAAAATGATGAGTATAAATCTGCCTAACCAATAGGCTCTGTTATAGTTTTTAAAGTTTTAAAGATGTTTTAGGGACTTACAGCCACGCATATTTTAAGATCTATAGGAGTAAAAAAAAAAATCTTTATTTGTGTACTCCAACTTGTGTTAAAATAAGACTTGGTAGAAAAACAAAGATGCTGATGAAGGACATTAATAAAGATATAATTTTCTTACACATAAAAGCAGATATTTTACCTGGTTCATATGAGCATCTGTCAAAATGCTAAAGTCCCTTAATATAAAAGTGTTTTAATTGGTAATTAAATGAAACCTTTAACAGAACAAACTTGCTTTTGTGAATTTGTAATCATACTCTAAAACTGTTCCCATTTGTGGGAAATGCAGGAAGAAATACTCCAGATGAGCTTCATTGTGAATTACTGCTAAGACAGTAGACACAGTGAAGTGTTTGCTCTGTTGCTCCACCATCCTTTTCTGTACAAGTGCCCTAGCAGAAAGGGCTTAGCAACGATATAATTTTCCATCCCATCCTCTTGGGATTGAGCTAAATATAGAAATTTTTTACCAACTAAGCAATCAGATTTTCTTCTTTAAAAAATCAAACTAAGAAAATGTGGTTAAAAAAATTTCAGAATTCTGTAGTTTAGTTGATATTGTACCAATGGTAATTGTATAGCTTTGATAAATGCATCTTAGTTACGTAAGATATCTACATTAAGGAAAATTGGGTGAAGGATATACAGAAAATTGTACTATCTTTGCAACATTTCTGTAAATCTACAATTATTTCAAAATAAAAAGGTTTTAAAAAATCAAATTAAGACATGATGAAGTCGAGAGATGGTGAATCCTGGGAGCTACAAAGTTATGGAGCCTCTAGACCTAGAGAAACCAATTTGGGGCATTATAGTCTGATAAGAAAATAGAAAAGTCTGAATAGAACAGATAAGCTCTTTGGAAACCACTTAGGCAGGCTAATAAAAAGACATAACATACTCACAGATACTGGCAGTGAACCAGAGGGACAGAAAACATAAGATCACTTCCTTATACACATACACCTACAGACTAGGACAGTAAGACTTATAAATGCCTGCACATGCAAAGACACACAGCAACAAAGATTAGCAAAAAATAAGGAAGTACACATACTTGAGACAGTGATGGAGAGAAACACACTCACTTACCTGTACACTTTTCACAAGGAGAGACAGGAGAGCATAGTGCACACACACAGAAGTACAGCCAATTAAGTTAGGATTGTGAGGGAGGTGCACAGAGGAGAGTTGCAGAACAAACCAATGGGAGGGAGAGGAAGACAGAGGTCCAGAGACAAGACACACAGAGACAGCCAGAGATGCAATTAAAAGAAAGCCCCAGAGAGAGAAGTGACTCAGTTCTTACAGGGTCTCAGTCTGGTCCCTCAAGAGACCCCGCAGTATTTCCTCTCTGCAGTTTCATGAATATATATCCCTGCATCTTTATGGTAAATATCCTTTCCTAGAGCTACCTTGAATAAATTGGTGTGGTTTTTCTATAAAAACAATATTACCTAATTAAGACAGATTATGCCTCAGAAAAATCAATTAATGGGATTTTTTAAAAGCTCCCCAAGTTGATTCTAATGAACGGTTAAGGTTGAGAACCACTGAAGTATGAGGGGAAGGGCGGCTGGCCTCTGATAATGTAGCTAATGAATATTTTATTTCATTAGCTAGTATGATTACTTGGCATTAAGTTACAGTACCTCATGAAAACATTTCTTAAATGACTACATATATTTGCTCTCTGAATTATCAAACACCTCTCTTGATTACCAAACACCTACTTTATTATCTTCATTCCTAGCTACTCCTTGTATTTAAACTATCTTTAGTACAGTGAGAACTTCAGAAGCACTGATATCCTACTGCTATATAAATTTTCTTTTCTTTTTTTCTTTTTGAGACAGAGTCTCACTCTGTCGCCCAGGCTGGAGTGCAGTGGCATGATCTCGGCTCACTGCAATCTCCGCCTCCCAGGTTCAAATGATTCTCCTGCCTCAGCCTCCCCAATAGCTGAGATTACAGGCACCCACCACCACATCCAGCTAATTTTTGTATTTTTAGTAGAGACGGGGTTTCGCCATGTTGGCCAGGCTAGTCTTGAACTCCTGACCTCAAGTGATCCGCCCAACTCGGGCTCGAAAGTGCCAGGATTACAAGTGTGAGCCACAGTGCCTGGCCTGCTATATGAATCTAATAAATACAAGAAAGCAAAATACTTCTAAAAAATAACATTTATAAAAAAGCCTCATAATTACTGCTAAACAAACAAAAAAAAAACCACTTCTGCAGGAAGACAGAGACAACTGAGCTGGGTACTAGCTCTGCAGTCTTCCCCTTTACACTGATATGGTCTGTGCTGATGCTCAATTTGGGTCAACAGCCATAGAGCCCAATGAGTGAAAAGAGAGACTATCTATGAGATTTTTTTCAGAATGACAACACAAACAAGCAGTGCCACAGTAAGAATTTGGCTTCTTTCTCAACTCAGGAACAATCTATCTACACGGAAGTAACTGGCAGCAGTGCACATCAATGAGAACAAGGAATAAGAAAAGTCATATAAAAAGATGATACAACTGCTCCTTCTCTGGGTCACCAGCTCATCTGTAATAAGTTCTGTATCCCTGACTAAATAAATCAGGAACATAAAACAGGAGAATGAGTTTTTGTCCCTCTATAACCCTTGTGCCACAGCTGATGTCAAAAATTAGACTACTGCAAAGACCCCAAGGCTACCAGGGTTGGTATTAGGAAGGCCAAGGGAGGGAACAGTAAACTGTATATGTTTAAAGAGAATCTAAATAGCAAAGGGCATGAGGCCTTGGGTCACTGAGAAAGGTTTTCATGTGAAGAGATATATTAGGAGGATTCATTCAGTCCCTGTGTCACTGCAAAGGCTTGGTGGATAATTAGAAGGATGAGTCCCAGGCAATGTCTCAAGGTTCAGTTCTCTGGCTTCTTCTAACAGTATTAGGCAAGCATCTCCAAGGAGAGTTGAAATATCCCAAGAAAGGAGGCCCACAGCCCAAGAGTCACAAATGGCGAGTATAATGTTAGAGATGGGGGAAGGGAGGGATAGAGTCCTTAGAACTACCTCAAACTTGTGCTGGACCACACTGACAACCATTCTTCAGGCAAAGTGAGACTCCTTCATAGACTTTAGATGTGCAATAGAGTAAGAGCAGAACTAAAAACCTCAACAAGCTGATTCTGCAAAAAAGTGATGACAGAATCAGAGACTATAAAAACAAGGGAAATTTTATAAATGCCAAATGTTTTCAATGAGGAAGGGGATAGATAAGAACAATAAAGATGTGGAAAAACTCTGCTTTTCGTTAGTTTTTTAGACAGAAGACTGAGCTAAGGTTAGAGTTTCTAGCTGTCACTAACTGTGTTTTAAAATATATTTCCCCCAATTTTGTACTGGAAAAGAAAAAATAAAATATAACTATTTCACTCTACAGGCAGCCATGTCCTTAGAAGTCGGTGATTTGTTTAAGCTAGTCTTTTTTTATTAAATAGTATTCAGAGGACAGGTCTCAGAGAGAAGCTTCTACCCTGGTCTAAGTACTTCTCAAATGGGGGAAAAAAAAGTATTTAACTGAGAAAACATTTAACAGTGTATAAAAAATAATTTCTTCTTAAAGACTGTATCTGAAAATTCAACGTGCTATCTGGCCAAGTAGACTGGGTGATTGTTTGGACAGCTAAGAAATGGATAGTTAAGTATAATGAACTGTGGCTGAGTGTGGTGGCTCACACCTGTAATTCCAGCACTTTGGGAGGCCAAAGCAGGTAGATCACTTGAGCCCAGGAGTTGAGCCCAGGAGTTCGAGGCCAGGCCCCTTCGCTACTAAAAAAAAAAAAAAAAATTAGCCAGGCGTTGTGGCATGGCTGTAGTCCCAGCTACTTGGGAGGGTGAGGCATGAGAATCACTTGAACCCGGGAGGTAGAGGTTGTAGTGAGCCAAGACTGTACTACTGCACTTCAGCCTGGGTGACAGAGTGAGACTCTGTCTCAAAAAAAAGAATTTCTCATGGATTCTATTGACTAGTAAATAATAATAATTAAAAAAAATTTTTAAATATAATGAACTGAAATAGAGTTGATACTATTAACTTAAAGGTGTTAAAATAACTAATTTTTTGCTACAGACATCATTTTGGTTGGTGGTGAGAGGAAGACTTTGCTGGACTGGGGCCCCATGAAGTGGAGACAGAAACTATGCTGGAAATTGTTATCAAATAGTTTTTTCCCAAGGCCATAGGGCATGGGAAATAATCTTCTGTGTATCTTTTCTCCTTTTTTTTGAGTCAATTTGGAATCTTGGCTTAAGGTTAAGATTCCTAAGGTTTCTGAGGAATACATAAGAAATTTGCAGGCCTGATTCACATCCTGTCTTTGTTCTATTCTTTAGTAATAAAATAGAAGGTAAATGGATATAACACTGAGCAGAAGGAAAAGTCTACTGAATGAGAAAAAAGATATTAGTGTTAATTATGAAAGTTTCAAAAGTTCTCCGCACTGGGCATGAGAAGAAGGAATGGGAGTAGCCTCATGCTAGAAGATGTATGACAGCATTTGGGGCATTTTGCTGTTATGAAAAACAAAGATCCCTTCAGAGGTATCTGGGGCAGTATGGAAAAGAATGAAGAGATAAGCCTGAAGACAGAACAGCTAGTGGACAAAAAGCAGTGAGTCCATGATGATGCAAACTGGACAATTCACATATAGCTATGTGATGGCAACCTATGACAAAAAGAAATATAAATGTAAAGCCAAAGAGAGTAGTGATATGACTATTCACCAAGGGTCTGGGATAGACTAAAAACAGATCTGTCATTGTGGTCCTCAAATTAAACTCACTGGCAACCTACTTGGTTAAAGGGTATAAAATCAGAGTCAAAAAGTAGAATTCTTATTTTGGGACTTCTTAGAGAGCTAAAGACAGAAGTTTTGTGCAGGGACACTTTGGCTGGTCACTGATTTTGCTCTCCCTACTATCGTATCAATGTGGACTCACTGATGCTGGGTTTGGGTCAATAGTCAGGAATTAGCAAGGTTTATAAACACTTGTTAAACAGGGTACATAGATTTATCACAGCCATTTCTTTCAGCAAGTAACAGAAGCAAGATGGCCAGGCACAGGGCAATAGGTTACACAAGCTATCTGTCTTGAGAGGGTAACAGGCAACAGTGAGCCATGCCAGCAACAAGGGGTAAAAGAAAGGAATGAAAAAATAGGACACCTCTGCTCCTGTTCTGGGAAGGCACTTCATTTCCAGTCATGTCTATGTGAACTGGGAATCTAAAGTAACTGTTTTCTTACTAAAGAATTGAAAATAGATGGTAGAAAGCAAACACTTACTTCTGTCCATCTTTCACAAAACCTTTTAAAGAGGATCCTCTATTAGTAGCAACTGCTCTTCCACCAAGACCGACTATGAGAGCTGTGAGTACTGCACTCTTCCCACCTAAAGAAACAGATGTTGAAGAAATCACATTCATTAAAAGAAAAAGGAAAAAGCTGACTCCTACCATGTAATGCAAAAAGATTTATGAATGAGACTCACTTTAAAATAAAATGTTAAAATTCAACTCTAATTTTCTTCCCGTGCAAAGCAACAACTTAAAAAAAAAGTTATATATGTAAGGAAAAATTGAACTGCCATTATTAGCAAAAAAAATAGTACATTTCAGGAATCAAATTGTTGCCACTAAAAAGAAAATGGTAAAAATTGTTGTGACACCTTTCCAACCTTTTCATTGTACCACCTTGGCCTATCAACCTAATAAATGAATCATCCCTCTATTTACACATATATTATTAATTCATCTAATTTTTATGACATTCTATTGGCACAATCATTGCTCACTGTAACCTCGGACTCCTGGGCTCAAGCTATCCTCCTGCCTCAGCCTCCTCAGTAGCCGGGATTACAGGCACACATCACTATGCCCGGCTAATTTTTTTTTGTAGAGACACAGTGTTGGTATGTTGCCCAGGGTGGTCTCAAATTCCTGGTTCTCAAGCGATCCTCCTGCCTTAGCCTCTCAAAGCGCTGTGATTATAGATGTGAGCCACTGGGCCCAGCCAGAAACCACTGTTAACATCCCTCAAAAGTAAGCTCCATGTGGACAGGAATATTGTCTCTTTCATTCAATACTGTATCCCTAATATTAGCACATAATAAGTACTTGCATTATTTGTTGAATGAATGAACTTAAGTAGAAAAAAATCAGCAAAGTCATATACATGTTTTTATATAATATTTTGACAATTATTATTTGTAACTTGAATATTATTCATTTTCTAGCTCTTTGAGAAGTGTACTTCTTTATACCCTAACAGATCTAAAATATTACAAGCTGAGGGCTAGGTATGGTGGCTCATACCTGTAATCCCAGCGTTTTGGGAGGCTGAGATGGGAGGCTCATCTGAGACCAGAGAGACCAGCCTGAGCAACAGAGAAACACCTGGTCACTACAAAAAATAAAATTAAGCAGGCTGGCCGGGCACAGTGGTTCACGCCTGTAATCACAGCACTTCGGAAGGCCAAGGCAGGTGGATCACTTGAGGCCAGGGGTTCGAGACCAGTCTGGCCAACATAGTGAAACCCCATTTCTACTAAAAATACAAAAAGTAGCTGGGAGTGGTGGTGCACACTTGTAATCCCAGCTATTTGGGAGGCTAAGGTGGGAGGATTACTTGAACCTGGGAGGTAGAGGTTATAGTGAGCCAAGATAGCACCACTGCACTCCAGCCTGGGCAATAAAGCAAGACTCTGTCTCAAAAAAATAAATAAATAAATTAGGAAGGCATAGTGGCATGTGCCTGTGGTCCTAGCTACCTTCAAAGCTGAGGCGAGAGGATAGCTTGAGCCCAGGAGTTCAAGGCTGCAATGAGCTATGATCACACCAGTGTAGTCCAGCCTGGGTGACCCGGAGAGAGAGATCCTTTCTCTTTAAACACACACACACACACACACACAGACACACACACACACACACACAGAGAATATGGTAAACACACACACACACACACACACACACACACACACACACACACACACACAGAATATGGTAACCATTTTCTGAACTCCATTCAACCAATCCAATCAACTATTATTAGCCCATTATCTTCCGCAAAGTAACACAAAGTAACTAACGCACACCACTGATTAACCCAATTTATTTCCTGGAATGCCTGTAAAGTTCCTATTCTAACTCTCTTTTCTTCATTACCAAATGCACTGCCTCCACTATTTGCATTATTTCCTCTTCTATTAGGTTTTATTAATAAAAATCATTGTTTCAAAAGTTAAAAGACCTAACTTCAGAACCCATCAGTATTTATTTCTTGTCCCATGTGACCCCTCTAAAACAGTGATCCCCTTGTCCATCTGTTTCTCCTAGAGACACTTTCTTCCTGACTGAATGATAAAGTAAGAAAAACAACAAAAGGGACTGCAGAGCTACACATAACCTAGCTTCCTATTCTAGCATTGTCACCAGTTGGTAGACTCTGGCAAGCCTCCTCTCCCTGTGTACCTTCTCAGCCCAGCAGCCAACACCTCATTCTTGGCAGGCCTACCACAGAACTGCCCAGAAACTTTCTGCCTTCTGTATTTTTCCCCTTCTAATCCATTGTCCACAATGTGGTCAGTTTGTTTCAAGAATTGTGGCCATGCCATTCCTTTACTCAAAAACTTTAATTGTGGCCGGGCGCAGTGGCTCACACCTGTTAATCCCAGCACTCTGCGAAGCCGAGGTGGGCGGATCACTTGAGCTCAGGAGTTTGAGATCAGCCTGGCCAACATGGTGAAACCCCGTCTCTACTAAAAATACAAAAATTAGCCAGGCTTGAAGGCACGCTAATCCCAGTTACTCACAAGGCTGAAACAGGAGAATCGCTTGAACCTGGGAGGCAGAGGTTGCATTGAGCCGAGATCGCACCACTGCACTCCAACCTGGGCGATAGAGGGAGACTCTGTCTCAAAAAAACAAAAAACAAAAAAACAAAAAAAACCCCAAACCACCAAACAACAAACAAAACTCTAATTGGTTCCCCACTGTCTTCAAAATAAAACTTCAAACTCTTTAACATGACATTCAAGATCCTCAACAATATTGCCTAGAGCATGACTCTCCACAGTCAGCTTCTGCCTCTCTCCACTGTCCACCATACAATAAACCATATAAGGTTATTCACCAGTTCCTATACACATCTACCTCTACTCCTCCAAACCTTAGCTAATGAGCAATCTTTGCCTGGAACATCTCAGCTTCTTCTTGCCAATAAGACCTAAATAATCGATAATTTTCATTCAAGAACTGGCACAAATACCACCTCCTCTTAAAGCATTTATTGGCCACCTGGTGAGAACTACTTTTATGTTTGGATTGCCAAGTCACTTCATTTGTGCTCTTACAATGTTTAGTAAGGCAAGACACAAGGCTGCCTCAATTGCAATGAGGATCGCTTGTCTACCCTTCTATGGTACAGATTCCAAGATAAATAGATTAAAAACATAAGCAGGAAATGTTTATCCCTATTGCTTAAGTAATGTACCTAGAGTTAACTCAGTATTTTCTTTAAGTGTACACTGGCAGCAAATACCAAGAATATTCATAACCACAAGTTATACATCTATAGAAAAAATACTTATTAGCACTAATAGTCACCTATTTCAAAAAGTTAACGTACTCTAATCTCAAAGTACTGCTCAAAGTCAAACGAGAAGGGAAAAAACACTTACTTCCATTGTTGCCAACAACAAAGTTGACATTAGAACCAAACTTAAAAGGTCCAAGCATTGAATGACACATGAAGTTTTTTAGGTGAATACTCTCAATTATTCCAACTTCTGCTGCAGTCTATTAATAAAAAACAATGGGAGAAAATGGTCAATCTAATTCACTCATTATAACCATTCAAGCATTGTTGGCATCAGAAAGACTAGCACCATCACCAATGAAAAAATTTACAGAAAGTGAATAATGGTAACTTCAATGAATAAGATGAAATTAAATGGGAACCTTCTATGAGTCAGTACTCATTCTAAAATCTTTAAAGGATTTAAAAGTATATCACCAGGTTTCTTAATATTGGCAATGACACTTTGGGTCTGATAATTTTTTGTTAGTGGAGGGGGTTTGTCTTGTGCATTGCAGAATGTTTAGTGGCATCCCCAGCCTCTACCCACTAGATGCCGGCAACACACACCTGCCCCTAAGTTGTGACAACCAAAAATATGTCCAGACATTGCTAAATGTCCCTGGGGGGCGCAAAAGGGAGAGAGAAGAATCCCCTTTGTTGAGAACTGCTATCCAATTGGCATAGTAAAACTTCCTATATACTTTATTTAGAATACCTCTGAAAGATGACGATCCAGCCATGCATTCAACACTGAATTCACTATCTGACATTCACTATTTCAATTCAGAGAGCAGAGTACATGTTCTTAAAAAGTAAAGCCTGCTCTTCTTGTGACTTTGTCACTTATTATGGCAACTGTGTGACTTTTGGCAATGTATAAAGCATATACAGTTTCCAAGTCCGTAAAACAGGAATAATATTTCCTATACTATAAATATTATATCAGCATTAAGTTAGATAAGGTTTACAAATGGTTTAACCAAGAGTTTGGCAAATGGTAGTCACTTGCACTTTGTAGTTATCTAAGTACCAGAACAAATCAGCCTTATTTTATCAGGTCTTCTAATTTTTTTGAAGACCATTTTCAAGTCTCCAGGTATTTTAAAGATTTCTTTAAAAACTCCCCGGCTCTCTTCTTCTGGACATACGTCTTACTAAACAGTAGAAAACATTTACATCCTTGTATGAGTAGAACACTGGAAATCATGGTTGACGAATTTTTAAAATATTTTTATTTTTAAATAATAACAGATTCACGTGCAATCCTTAATGAGATCCTGTGTACCCTTTACTCAGTTTCCGCCCATTGTAACATCTTGCAGAGCTAAAGTACAATATCACAACCAAGATACTGACATTGACATAGTCAAAATACAGAATATTTCCATCATCACCAGGATCCCACATGTTGCCCTTTTATAGTCACATCCACATCCCACCTTAACCCTGACCCACAATCTGTTCATTTCTATTAACTTTGCACTTTCTAAAATGTTAAATAAATGGAAACAGACAAAATGTAGCCTCTTGGGACTGGCTTTTTCCACTCAGCCTAATTCTCTGTTGTTGCCTATATCGGTAGTTCGCTCCTTTTTATTGTTAAGCTATATTTTATGGTATGGATGTACCAAGGTATATTTACTAGTTCCTTTGCCTTTTCACCTAAATTTTAGAATAAAATATATACCTACAAAATATCTTGCTGAGGTTTTAATAGAACTGCATTTAAATTTACATATCATTTTGGGGGAGAACTGACATAATTTCTATATTGAGCTGTCTAATCCGTGAGTAAGTATGTGTCTCCATTTATTCAGGTATTCTTTGATTCCCTTCATCAGCACAGTATAATTTTCACCATATTAGTCCTGTACATATTTTGCTAGCTTTAGACCTAACTATTTCATTTTTTAATACTTAATTTTTTAAGAGTAGTTTTAGGTTCACAGCAAAATTGAGAGGAAGATACAAAAATATCCTATATACCCCCTACCCCCACACATGCATAGTCTCCCTCATTATCAACATCCACTATCAGCGTGGTACATGTGTTACAGATGATGAACCCACACTAACATATCATTATCAACCCAAGTCCACAGTCTGTACTAGGGTTCACTCGATATTATTGTACATTCTACAGATTTGAACAAATTTATAATGACATGTTTCCACCATTTTAGTATAGTACAGTTATTTTTACTGCGCTAAAAATCCGGTGCTCAACCTATTCATCCCTCCCTTTCCTCAACCCCTAGCAACCAACCACTGATTTTTAACTCTCCATAGTTATGCCTTTTTCAGAACGTCATATAGTTGGAATCATACAGCATGTAGCCTTTTCTGACTGGCTTCTGTCACTTAGTAATATACGTTTAAGGTTCCTCTATGTCTTTTCATGGCTTAATAGCTTAATACTAATAGTGCATCGTCTGGATATACCAGAGTTTATTTATCCATTTATCTACTGAAGGACATTTTGGTTGCCTCCAAGTTTTGGTAATTATGAATAAAGCTGTTATAAACATGAATGCACAGGTTTTCATGTGGACGTAAGTTTTCAACTCCTTTGGGTAAATACTAAGGAATTCAACTGCTGGACTGTATGGTAAGAGGATGTTTGGTTTTGTAAGAAACTGCCAAAGTGTGTTCCAAAGTGGCTGGACATTCTCACCAGTAATGAATGAGAGTTCCTGTTGCTCCACATTCTTGTCAGCATTTGGTGCTCTCAGTGGTTTGAACTATTGCCATTTTATCAGGTGTGTTGGTATCTCAAT
Organism: Homo sapiens; assembly: GCF_000001405.40. Taxonomy (NCBI): domain Eukaryota; kingdom Metazoa; phylum Chordata; class Mammalia; order Primates; family Hominidae; genus Homo; species Homo sapiens. The sequence continues at coordinate 17,744,289 of NC_000002.12, forward strand.
GTTGTTTTAATTTGCATCGTCCCAAAGTGGTTCATTTTTTTTGAGTGATTGAAAATGGTATTTTGAATTTTAACGTCCATGTGTTCAACGCCAGTATATAAAAGTAAAGCATTTTAAAAATACCTTATCCTATAACTTTGCTGAATGTATTTATTCATTTTAAGAGTTTTTTGTAGATTCCTTGAGATTTTTTATGTAGATAATGAACAAATGGATTATCTACATAATCTGCAAACAGAGACAGTTTTTGTGTGTGTTTTTCCTTTCCAAACTCTATACCTTCTGTTTCCTTGATTTATTTGCAATGCTAGATTTTCTAGCACTATGTTGAATAAGTGACAGAAGCAAACACCTTTGTCTTCTTCCTGATCTTTGGGGAAAAGTATCCAATGTTTTACCATTAAGTATAATGTTAGCTGTCAGTTTTTTTGTGAGTGCTCTTTAACAGGTTGAGGAAGTTCCAGTCTATTCTTATTTTTCTGAGAGTTTTAGTCATGAACAGGTGTTGAATTTTATCAAACACTTTTGCTGCACTGAGTGATATAATCATGTGATTTTTCTTCTTTAGCCTGTAACATGGTGAATCACAATGATTGATTTTTGGATACCAAATCAGGCTTGTATACCTAAAATAAACCCATTAATTATGACGTATAATTCTTTTTACATATAGTTGGCTTTTCCTATCTGCGGGTTCTGCAGATGTGAATACTCAGGGCAGATTATAAGGGACTTCAGCATCAGTGGATTTTGGTCTGAAGCGGAGTCCTGTGAACCAATCCTGCTTGAATACCAAGTAACAACTACATTGCTGAATTCTCCTTGCAAATATTTTGTTCAGCATTTCTGCAACCATATCTATTAGGTATACTGGTTTTACAGTTTGCTTTTTTGGGGGTCCCTCATTGTCTGGTTTTGGCATCAAGATAATACATTGAAAAGTGTTCTCTTATGATTTTTGGAAAAGACTGTGTAGATTCATGTTAATTCTTCTTTAAATGTTTGGTATAATTCTCCAGTGAAACCAACTGGGCCTGTAGATTTCTTTTATAGGAATTTAAAAATATGAATTAAATCTCCTTAGTAGTTATAGGGCTATTCAGATGATCTATTTCGTACTGGGTGACTTGTGGTAATTTTTCCTTTTTGAGGATTGGTCCACTTCACCTAAGTTGTCAAATTTATGTGTGTAGAGTTGCTAACTGTATTTCCTTACCCTTTGGATGTCTGCAGGGTCTGTGGATAGCCCTTATTTTATTCCCGATATTGGTAATTTGTGTCTTTTCTCTTTTTGCATTTCTTGGTCTTACTAAAAGTTTGTCAATTTTATTCACATTTCTATACATTCAGTTCTTTATTTTCTCTATTAATTTTTCTAATAATTAACATAAGCTTCAAAATTACCCAGAACAGATTTTACCTCAACTTTTAAAAAATCATATTACTTTTTCTTGATTTTAAGTTATCACAGAATGTGATATGATGAATGTTACAAGAAAAACATATCAAAAAGCATAATTTTGTAATTTTTCGCTTACCAAAGTAGTACCTTTACATTCGTCTTCGTCACCATCTTTATCAAAATCCTCCAATTCTTCTTGTCTTGGCCTTTTGGCATTTTTAGGAGAGGAAAAATTTTCTTCCTTTCTTTTGGCCATCAGGTCTGAACAAATATTTATAGTAACAATGAGGTAAATCAAGTTCCATATATATTAAACTCAACAAAATAAATCTAACAAGGCTAATTAAACTTTAGGTACTATGTCCATCCATTTTTACCTTAAAAATTAAAGTAAATTAGTCTTGCATCTTGCACTAAGGAAGAGGGACATGAGTCAAAAAATGCTGGAAAAGGCAAGGAAATAGATTTTCCCCTAGAGGCCCTAAAACAGAACATAGCCCTACTGACATCTGGATTTTAGCCCAGTGAGATCTGTGTTGGACTTCTAATCCACAGAAGCGTAAGATAGTAAGTTTGTATTGCTTTAACATCTGCATATTCTATACTAGTTGATTTTACTTCAGAGGTATTCATAGCCAAGATTTTATCAGTATAAGCCTACCTAAATGTTGTGACTACTAAACTCACAAAAGGTAAAAGATTTTGTGAAATTGTGGTTTCTAGTTTTCTAAATCTATTCATAGAGATGGCATGGTGACTCCTGAAATTATTCCAAAGCAATGCACAATTTTCACAAGTTATAAAGTAATCAGATAAAACTTTTAATTTTTAAGTTGTTTTCCCAAAGAATCATATTTTGAAGCACATTGCTTAGCACCAGTGGTTTCCTTTAACTCTTCCCTAAAAAAAAAGTCCAGGTTGATTGTCTATTTTTTGCCAATATACTACAAAATTTAAACCTAGAAAATTAACATCTTTTAAATTACACATGATTTTGCTAAACATATGAATACTGGATCTCCAGTCAAAGCTGATAGTTTATGATTAAAATTAAACTTTATGACCTCTTTGACTGCTGCTTTCATTTTTTCCTTTAGAGTACATTTAAGACCTAAAATGATAGGTATCTAATTTAATTGTTTGCTAAAAGGAGACAAAAATCTCTAACATAATCAAAAATTTCTAAGATATAAGAATATGAGGAACAGTTCTAGGCTCAATGTACTGAAATCCCCCAAATATTAGACCACAGCAACCCTCTCCATACCATGTATATACCTGGCTCCCCTACCCATGCAAGCAAAATCCAAGTGGGTAGTCTGGACTTCCACCCTAGTGAGGCTACAAGGTGGCATCTCAACACCCTAACTGGGGTAGAGTCAAAGGCTATGTAGACAAGTAGGGAGCCATGATAATGGTGTCAGCGGAGACCACCTAGAGAGCCTAGATTTCCACCCATACAGGAAGTAATACGGTGTTACTTACTCCTTCTCCTAGTTGGCTAGTATCAAAGGAGGCCTAGTGGAAAGTCGGGACTTTTCCCATTGCCCAGAGGTGAGAAGACCACTCCCACTGCAGTGTCACTGGAGACCATATGGGAAACTGAAACTGCCACCCTAGCCTAGCAGTTGCTGTGGCTAAGGAAATAGCTCCAAGTTCCAGATCTGAGTCTCTTTGTCCGCAGTCCAATATGGAGGGAAGCAGTTCTCAAAGGTTGTAATCTCTTTTACAAAGGACTTCAAAGAGCTTTTGCTTATGTCTATCAATATTTATTATATTAGAAATTAAAACTAAACAACTTTTTTTCTTTTTCTTTCTTTTTTTTTTTTTTTTGAGATGGAGTCTTGCTCTGTCTCCCAGGCTAGAGTGCAGTGGCACAATCTCAGCTCACTGCAACCTCCACCTCCTGGGTTCAAGCGATTCTCTTGCCTCAGCCTCCCACGTAGCTGGGATTAAGGTGCGTGCCACCATGCCCAGCTAATTTTTTATTTTTAGTAGACATGGGGTTTTGCCATGTTGGCCAGGCTGATCTCGAACTTCTGACCTCAAGTGATCTGCCCACCTCGGCCTCCCAAAGTGCTGGGATTATAGGTGTGAGTCATCACGGCTGGCCAAAACTGAGCAACTTTTAAAACAAGGGACACACAGTATATATTCCATCAGTCACAGCAATGACATCTCACAAGCCATGTAACCTCTGGAAAACTCCACTGTACACTCATAAGTGAATGAGAGTGAAAAGGGCAAATAACATCTTACTATTATCATTAAAACAGTTTTGGCCTTGTAGATCCCTTGCAAGAGTCTCATGGATTCCTGCACCACATTTTGCAAAGTGCAGCTACAGGGGGATACTAAAAGCAAGTCCATGATACAGTGTCATAAATTATAAGGCACAGCTAGGAAGCAATAAAGTTAGAGCATTAGGGAAGAAACAGACCACAAAAGGACTTGTAGACTCCTCATATTTAAAGTGTGGTCCAAGGACTGGCAAGCAAGATCTACATCTCCTGGGAAGATATCCACCTATCAGATATCCAGAATCTCAGGCCCCACCCTAGAGCAAGTGAATCAGAATCTTCACTTTAACAAGACTTAAGGTGATTCACATGCACATTAGAGTTGAATTGTTATGTAAACCATGGAAAATAACTGGGACTTTATCCTATCCTGAAGTCAATGAAGAACCTTATATATTATGAAGTCGAATACCATTTAAAGGGTACATTACTTACCATCCAAAGAAGGATATTTAACCTAAACAAATGCCTTTTAAGACAATATTACCATTACAGTTACAGCTACATAATATTCAGCTTCATTTTTACAAATTATTTAATGTTTTGAAACTGTTATTAAAATCAAAAATATTTTTCAAAATATTTAATAAGAATCAACATAGATCGGTTTCAGTTTATTATTAATTTAAATTCCCTGAGATACTACCAGGCCATTATTTTTCCAACACTTTCTTCTCTGCTAACCACCCTCTATTCCCTTCTCAGTTACTGAGCAGTAATTTATTTATTATAGAAGAGCAAACAGAAAGCATTACTTTTTGGTGTCCCCAACATTTAATGCCCTTTTAGAAACTGTTTTTATTAATGCCTAACACATGATCATGCAGTTAGCAAGCACTCAGACATAAGCTAATGGATAACGCACTAGGGAAAATGTGATACGCTTCTCACAAGGAATGTGAGATTCTATATAGAAGACAGTACACCCAAACACTACGTGATGACGATGTTTTTTATTTGCTGAGAATGTTTTTTATTTGCTGAGCATGACCTGGGATTTGCAGTTTGCTATTAGGTTGCCACGGTAACTTGCATCTAACAGACACTGAAGGATCCTACCTTTTAAAATAGGAATCACTTTGTAATTTAATGATGATGGATTTTCAAACACAGATTCGAATGTCTAGAGCATCAGATACAGATTAAAATAGTAAAATTGTTTCCAAAAGGCTAAAGAAACATATTTACAGATGCAAAGAAAAATATTTTAATTATGCTGGAATAAAAAAAGGAGAAAAAAGCCTCCTCTGGGATTTTCAATTTATCCATAAAGCTCGTCATAGTTTTTAATATTTCTTTACTTATTTATAATTTAAAAAAAACAGAATTAAAGAACACCTCATTTCTCCCTTACAGGATACAAGCAGGAACAATGAAGATTATCAATAAAATAATAAGTTCAAGAAGAAAAATTAATGGCCGGGCGCGGTGGTTCACGCCTGTAATCCCAGCACTTTGGGAGGCCAAGGCAGGCGGATCACGAGGTCAGGAGTTTGAGACCAGACTGGCCAATATGGTGAAACCCCGTCTCTACTAAAAATACAAAAATTAGTCAGGCGTGGTGGCGCGCGCCTATAGTCCCAGCTACTCAGGAGGCTGAGGCAGAAGAATGGCTTAAACCCAGGAGGCGGAGGTTGCAGTGAGCCGAGACTGTGCCACTGCACTCCAGCCTGGGTGACAGAGCGATACTCCGTCTCAAAAAGAAAAAAAAAATTAATAACCAAGAGTTCATTATTGCATGTAGATGCATAGGAAATTTGATAGAGATCATGCATTTTAACAGAATTCTAAATTTTATTAAGTATATAATAATTCATATTTCCTATTAATACCAAATTAGGAACTAAGAGTAGTGACACACATAACAGAATTAGAATTTAATAAAAAAGTGTTATCATTTTTTTAAAAAGGCAAATTACTACTACTTCTGAATCTGCCCTGGCCTGTGTTTACCACATCCTCAATTCTACTCTGCCTATCACAACAGACATTTATTCTATGGTAAACAACTTCATTTTGAATGTGCTTAATTAAGTACACTGCTTGGAATATATCACGAAATTATATGAGACTTATTCATTAAGTCCACCCATCTAAAATTTCAGGATCAGCAAAACCGGGAAGTATAAAGCACAGCATTTCAGTTAATAAAATCTGAACACTTAGATTTCTGTACTGAAAACATCCTGTGGCTCAATATAGAAGATAGATGAAACAGAAAGTAAGAATAGTAGCAGAAGAGATGAGTTGCTAAACAAAAGCAGTGGTAATATCAGGGACAAAGGGAAGAGATAAAACAAGAGATTTAAAAGACTGAATTAGTAGAATTGGTGAGTACAAATGGGTGAGTAGAATTAACATCTGCTGAATAACTACATACTTAGCTTTTGAGATGAACACTTTCTATTTCCTTTGATCCCCAACATCTTTATGAGATAAATATTGCCCTTATTTTTACAAAAGGAGAGACTGAGGCACAAGTAAATGACTTGAATTTATGTAGCTACAACTTAGTTCTAACATACAAAGGCTTCTATAGCTCTAACATAGCAGAGCTCAGATCCAAATCCAGGTTTGTCAAAACCCAGTTAAACCTCTTTAACGCCCAGGTTCCTACTGGCATAAACTGAAGTTTGACAGTTAATTATTCATAGAGAGTGAAATTGGCTATTAATCTGTCCTTCATCTCGTCTATCCTTCATTAAACTTAAAAAAAAGATTCTATTATTGGCTGGGCGGGTGGCTCATGCCTGCAATCTCAGTACTTTGGAAGGCCAAGGCAGGCGGATCACCTGAGGTCAGGAGTTCGAGACCAGCCTGGCCAACATGGTGAAACCCCATCTCTACTAAAAATACAAAAAAAAATTAGCTGGGCTTGGTGGCGCATGCCTGTAATCCCAGCTACTCAGGAGGTTGAGGCAGGAGAATCACTTGAACCTGAGAGGCAGAGGTTGCAGTGAGCCGAAATCATGTCACTGCCCTCCAGCCTGGACAACAAGAGTGAACAGCTGTCTCAAAAAAAAAAAAAAAAAAAAAAAAGATTCTCTAATGTTACTATTAAAGTCAATCAAAACTTTGGGTGTGCTTTATAAAACTTCATTTTGTGTTTCATCTTCACACTTAATACTAAATGCCATTATAAGTTCATGGAACAGGTTTGGCAAGTAGGGAGAATGAAATTTATTTTATTTGAAAACACTGAGTTTGGGCTGGGCTCAGTAGCTCACGCCTTGTCATCCCAGCACTTTGGGAGGCCGAGATGGATGGATCACTTGAGGTAAGGCGCTCAAGACCAGCCAGCCCAACGTGGTGAAACCCCATCTCTACTAAAAATACAAAATTAGCCAAGTGTGGTGGTGCATGCCTGTAATCCCAGCTACTCCGGAGGCTGAGGCAGGAGAATCGCTTGAACCCGGGAGGCAGGATTGCACCACTGCACTCCAACCTCGGCGACAAGAGTAAAACTCTGTCTCAAACAAAAAAAAAAAAAAAAGAGGAAAAAAAAGAAAGAAAGAAAACACTGAGTTTCAAGTGCTCCTAAGGTATTTTGAGATAGAGGCCAGTCAGTAGTAAAGGATACTCTGCAATGGAGAAAGATTTGTGGGTGGAGCTAAGGAAGCTACTGGAAGTAGTTTGAATTTGGTGACCAAGAAAAGCATGCTCAGAGAGAAAAGATGTTAACTTGTTTAAATAGTGAATCAAAAATGCTAACATTAACCTAAGCAACTACGCTTGACCCTCAGTCAGCTGGACTTATCGTTGTGTATAAAGAACTATGGCATTTAATTGTGTCTTAAATATAATGCAAGCTATCACGGTAAAATTTTGAGTTACTTACTAATTCCTAAAAGTAAGCCAAGTACAGCTTTAATTATTTTTCCTAACTTTGGTCTAAAAATGACAGTCAAGATTTAGGTAGGTTTTACATAAAATTCTACAGATTCAGTAAAATACACTCAGTAAAATAAACCTTTGGGGAATAAAACTTGTTTTTCACTGTAATACCTTTAACATGACTTGTGTACTTTTTGCCAGGCTCAATACTAACTGGTTTATACGGATTGCAGACAGATGTCGATATATAACTACATAACTTTCTCTTCCTCTCTGTGTCCACATATTTAAGAATCCTGTCAGCTAGGTACAGTCAATCCCTAAGAATTGGTTCCAAAATGACAGCCCCTCTCTCTCACTCAGATACCAAAATCCACAGATGCTCAAGTCCCTTATATGAAATGGTGTCATATTTGCATATAACCTCCCCACATACTTAAAAGTTATCTCTAGATTACTTATATAACCTAACACAATGCAAATGCTATGTGAATAGTTGTTATACTGTACTGTTTAGGGAATAATGACAAGAACAAAAAAAAGTCTGTGCAACCATCCACTTTTTTTCCTCTGAAATATTTTCAGTCCCTTGATTGAGTCCACGGATACAGAGGATGCACTGATAACTGTATTATTTCTTCCAACTTGCATAAGAAGAACTGAAACTTAAAGAGGTGGTACCAACCTGCTCAGAGTCACACAATTCTGGCTTTTTGTGATATAAATACACGCTTTTAGGCAATATACTAGTGGCCTCCAAACGTTTTGTACTTGCACCCATTAAGCAAAAGAAATTTGAAATACATGTTCCAACATAAAATTAATACCCTATGTTTCACGTAGAAATCAAATGAAATAAATCTAAATAGAAGTTCTAATATGTTCCCTCTCTACCCACACACCCATGGAACAAACTGCATGCCACTGTATATACTATTGTACATGTTAAAAGATCACACTGCAACCATATAAAAGTCAGGAGATTTGGGTTTTTCTTTTTTCCTTTGAATATATATTACTGAGAAGTTTGCCTTTAAAACACTGGCTTTTAATCTACTACTCGTGACATATGCAGAGTAATAAGCGCTCACAAAACTTCTGTCTTGAGGGCTCAAACACCAAATGATTGCTCTAAGAATTTTCACAGTATTACCTCAAACCCTATTGGTTCTACAACCTTTCTCTACCCTAGAGTCCTGTTTTCCGCAATTCCCAATTGGGATTCTTCTCCGGTTCATTTCTGTAAGAAATGAGGGCAGAGAAATGCCATCAGTAAACCTTTGAACACATGTTAATTTTTCTAGGTAATACAATTTGCATTTTCGTAAAACTGGGCTTTAATGACAAATCCGATTTCAGTGATCTTTGCATACACCCTTTAAACACACCAGTTGCCGCCTGCGAGATATCATCAGACTCATGCTAAGAGCCACTCCCTACCCCAGCTTTCCCCAGACCTCTCCCCGCTTTACAGTTATTCGCCACAGCCCGGGAGAGTCTGGGGACGGCCGCCTGGGAGGGGACGGCCGCCTGGGAGGGGACGGCCCGGAGCAGACGCCAGGTTTCCCGCGGCTCAGGAGACCGGTGCCGCCTCGGAGAGCGCGCGAAGGTGCCGCCGGCCGCCCGACCCGCCCGAGGAACGGACATCTCCCGCCCGGGCCCGCAAGGACGACCATGAACACCGCCGCAGCTCAGCTGACCCTGCCTCTCCCGGGTGGCTGGGGGTCGCCAGCCAAGGGGGCAGCGGGCGGAGGATGAACCCCGGAGCAAGGGAAAGCGACAGCGCGCGCCTTCACCCTACCGCCAACAAGTCGAAGTCTCCCAAAGGAACCTGATCGGCGGGGCTGCCGTGGTACGACCGGCCGCTAAGGCCACCCTGCGGGCGTCTCGACCTCGGCTGACCGCCGCTGGCCCCCTGGGAACCGCGTGCCGGCCGCAGGAGAAGGTAGATTCCCGGGAGCCCCGGCGCCCACCGCGGTACTAACCGCGCCTGCGCCCCGCCCTCCCTCCCTTCGGGCTCCGCCCGCGCCTGCGCAGTTGCGGGGTTTCGCGCCGCCGGAGTCTGAGAGGCCGGAAGTGCCCCTTAGCGGGTGGGGGAAGCTGGTAGGCACGGGCGGCTCCGCAGTGACCGGACTCGGGGGAGGTGAGTGATTTGCCTAAGTAAAAGGGAAAGATAATTGAGCGCCCCCGGCAGCTGGTCTACGCATGCGTCCGCTAGGCCGGCTGGGAGCCGGCAAGGGAAAGCCGAGCGGGCCCCATTGGGGGAAAGGGGTCAGTCACTTCCCGGAAGAGGCGGGGCCGCGCGGGCCCGGCGCTGGATTCGAAACGCTTCCTGGTGCTCCTGGGCCTGGCGGTTGAGCCCGGGGAGCTAGTCTTTGCTTGGGTAAAGAAAGAGGACTTTCCTTTTTTTTTTTCCTTTTGAGAAAATTCAGAAATTTGGAGGCACAGTAGTTAGGATTCAGGCCAAACTGGTAAATGACGAAGGGGCTTCTTCCAGAGCCAAGGAGGAAGGGTTGTCCGGGTAAGTCCCGCGGGACGTGGAGAGACGGCGCCGCCCGGGTCCTCCCACTGATTCCTTTGACCATCTGGCTTACGGACGAGCTCTTTGTTCGCTGCTCCTCCGAAAACGCCTTCAATGACTCCCTTTGAATAAAGTAGGAAGTCCGAACCGAGCCGCCAGGCCGCGACTTGGCCCCTGTTTTCCACTCGCGAGGGCCCTGCGTCACCCCGCCTCGGGAAAGCTGCGCGTTCTCCGGCCGCTTGCGCTTGGCCGAAGCTGCTGGGTCCCGCTGTGCTTCCCCCGGGCATGCGATGGGGATAATTCCCACGCCTCGCTCAAAGCCATCCCGGGAGAGCCCTCCCTGGTCCCCATAGGCACAGTTGGGTGTTCCCTTTTCCGTGTTAACCTTGTATTTCGGATATAGTTCTGTTATAGTAATTACTTTAAGGTATTGTAGTTATTTACAATCAGTCTTTCCCCCACGGTAACCTAGAGTGTAAACCCCCTAAATAAACGTCAGAAGTAATGAAGTCTTAACTTCCTTGGCTTAGGTTTCAGCGCCCTTCTCAACCCCACACTCCCGCTTCAGTCTTTACACAACCCTTCCCATGAATATGCTGACCTAACAAGTAACCTACTTTTCATACTCCAAAATCTTCTCTTCTGTGTGGGGAAAATAATGCATTGACTGCCACCTCACTCCACCTCCAAATAAATTGATGTTGAAATTCTGGCCTCCGGTAATGGAATTCTTTACATCAAAGTCACTTTTTATTTCTAAAAGTAATCACATATATATTATATTCCTACTGTGGCCCTTGCCATGGATCAACGAAAAATATGACATAGTCAAAATAGACCAAAACATCTGGCCTTGTTGTAACCAATGGGAAACACGGTTGGGAGGTCCCTACTTACATGTCACTTGCTTCAGGAACCGTTCCTTGATTCCTAAGTGGGGGACCTTTTTTCCTAAATACAACTATAGCTTGCTTTCTTACCTCTTAAGCCCTTTTTATCTGCAGTCTCACTTACCCTACTAAGGTCTTTAAATGCAGGGCTTGATCTTCCATTATTGTATCTCCAGCACCTATAAAGCTTTCCTGTTAAATAGTAGACATTTAATAAGTATTTATTGATAAACGTGAAGTATGCCTCAACGTTTAGGCTAAATTCATATGAAAATAAAATTGAAAAAATAATTTTAAAGAACAGCATTAGTTACTGAGATTATGTGGTAAATCCCTTAAAATATAATCTTGCATTGAAATAGTTTTCACCATTTACCAGTCTTTATATGAATATATACTCATCTAAATGGAAATTGGGAAATTTAAGCATTTTCTGCTTTTCCGAAGTAAATTTTCTAATGTTTTTCTTAAAGCTGAACTAAATTGCAAAACTTGCTTTAATAAAGTGTGTATTTTTGCATCAGTTAAGCCCCTGACCTCTTTATGTTCTTTAAATTTGATTCATTAGTGAAATTAACAAGGTTCTGTGTTTTTCTCACCTCATTCAGTTTTATAATTAACCAATAAAAGCTTATTAGCTTTTAAGGAAGTTTTAGGAACTTAAATTGATTTATGGGCACCATATGGTTACATCAAAGGACTTGTTTTTGTTTTAACTGGAAGTGGATTCTTAAGTCCTTTAAGATGGAAATTTATGTTCTTTCTATTATACCAAGCAATACTTTCTGAAATAGAGTGATTTTTTTTTATTCCATGCTACCAGTTGGTCATGCAATTCAAATATTAAATACTAGATTACAGATATTAGAATCTTGTAATGCATCTGGTTTAATACCTGTCATTTTGTAGAACGGTTAAATGTCTTCCCAAGGTCATACACCTAATCAGTGGTATATTCAAAACCCAAATCCTAGGCTTCCTATCTGAAGTCCATTGCTTATGAAGTGGTTTGCTATGTGTTCTGACTTTGTTGATTCAAATAAGTAAGCTAAATCAATTTAAGCCATTAATAGGTTTATAAAGTTATTTGCTATGTGTTGTTCTTACATCATTGATTCATGTAAGTAGACTTGTGTGACAGCTAATTCTTAAAAAATTATGAAGATGTTAGACTTCTTTTGATATATATATGTTGATTGTATGAACAGATTGACATCAATATACTTATTCATTATAAAAGATTTGAGTGGGAACTCACCAAATCCCACACCAAAAAAATTTAAAATTTTACCATAGTAAAAAAAACTAAAAAGCAAGATGAAATTATACATAGTTCTTGGTGTAGTATTTTTAATTTTTATTATTTATTTTTATAGAAATGGGGTCTCACCATTTTGCCAGGCTGTTCTCAAACTCCTGGCCTCAGGTGATCCGCCTGCCTCGACCTCCCAAAGAGCCAGGATTATAGGCATGAGCTACCATGCCCGGCTAGTGTAGTATTTTTAAATTTTACTTAATGCTGAGCCATTTTCAAATAACCTCATCACATTGATTATGACCTCATGCAAGAACCATCTGTTCTATCTTTCAGTGTAGTTGTACTTTAATATCTTAGAAGCTATTGCATTCTGTCCTTTTTTGGAATGTTTTATGCTTTTACAGTCTTAACCATTGCTTCTTAATATCACTTCCGCGGAACAGCTGGTGCAAAGAACATGTGATAAGGAATGGAAAACAATTGATGATGGAAACAGAGATTTGGAGTTAATTGCGTTCTTAAAATATTATGATGTTCTTTCTAATAAAATGTACATTTCACATAATTTTCCTCTTTCAGAACTAACCATGGTTAATCATTCTTTAAACCAGGTTTGTTTCCGACAAAAGAAATGAAATAATAAAAACTAAATTCTAACTGTAGTAATCATGTGATATTAAAGATATTATTTATGGGGTTAAAAGCCCTCTTTATCTTGCTTAGGGGTTTCCAATAATCGAATCAGTGCTGGACTTTTTTTTTTTTTTTTTAGGCATGGCTGCCCCCTGTTAATAATATATTTAATTAACAGCTTTACACAATGATCTTAATATACTTGAAATACTTAGAGGACTGCAGTTTATAAAATCAAGAGTCTACCTTATTGCTGTTTTATTTTTTTTTTTACCATAACCCTCAGAAGGAATACAGTTAACATCACAGTCCTATATATAAATGTGTGTTTATGTGTGCCATCATAAACATCACTGCACTAGGTGGCAATCTTCACTACTATTCATTTGTGTATGTGTAGTCAACCTACGAAAGGAATCATTAGAAACAGGGTAGGAATGTTGAACCTTAGAACCGGAAGTTGCCAGAGAAAATATGTGCCCTGGCCAACTCCACAGGACTAGTTCTAGGCAATCTGAAGGAAACCAGAAAATGTGAATTTCTCTTCCCTCAAAAAGCTATACTGAAGTAGTATTTAATATTCAAGTACTTGTAAATTTGCAGAACAGTACTTTTTAATTTGACCCATGAATTCTATTTAAATTTGTCACTTAATATTTAGCCAAGAAGCAAACCATCTAAAAAGATTTCTGGTTTATTTCTCCAACTCCTAATAAATAGGGTCACATATTTTTTAACTTTTTTCTAATTTGAAAAGTAATACAGGCATATGGTATTTTAAAAATGAAACAACACAAAGGGATATGTTTTGAAAAGTGGTTCTTGCCATCCCTGAACTGTAATCATCCCTAACATATTCATACCTGTTTTCATTTTAAAAGTTGGGTCAGTTTTTTTATTAGTACATGTATTTCTATCCTACTGATTTATTTGCTATATCATCTAATTTAGTTTGAATATTCCATAATTTACTTAATTAGTCCTGTATGGAGACCTAGCTCTTCTCAGTGTCTACTATTATAAACAATGCTACAGTGAATATTGTTGTATAAATCCATACACACCACGTAACATATCTTAAGTTCCTGGAAGAGATATTGCTAAACCAGAAGATAACCTGCATTTAAAATTTTGACTGCTAGGGTCAGGGTCACATTTAAATTAAATTAGAACAAAGGAATTGCATAATTGTCTTCGATAGCAATCTATTCCAGTGTGCACCGTGAGTCACAAAGGAAAGCAAAACTGTCAATAACTTTCTTCTCAGACTTTTGGTTTAATGTGTTCTGATGGGTTAATAATTTGTCTCATTTCTCTTCATAATAATGACTTTGAGAATATTTGTACTGCACTCTTTTTCCAGAATTAACCACAACTTTTCACAGTAACTGAATTAATGCCACAATGGTACATTCAACCAGTGGGGCTTCAGGATGTGAAATAGACAATATTCTGGGCCACTGTTACTACCAAATACTTTCTTTACCTTTAAGTCTGTATATTTTTATCTGTAAAGTGACATCCATAGATGTCACTGTACACTTCATAGAAATGAGTACACAGAATAATACTCATGGCAGGGCTGGGTGTGGTGGCTCATGCCTGTAATCCCAGCACTTTGGGAGGCTGAGGCAGGCAGATCACTTGAACCTGGGAGGCAGAGGTTGCACTGAGCTGAGATCTCGCCACTGCGCTCCAGCCAGCGTGACAGAGCGAGACCCTGTCTCAAAAAAAAAAAAAAAAGGAATAATACTTATGGCAGCACTGGCCACACTATAAAATTCAGGTTCAGAAAAACAGGGTAAGTCACAGACAGCAACGCTTCCAGCATTTATTTTCTTTGCACCCATGGGCAATTTGAGAAAATTTACCTTTAGAACGAACTCTGTTAAAGGTACAGACAATACAGTACTTTTTATTCAGAAGGTTTCTGCATAAAGGTGATAGTCTTTTGACTTAATATATTATTGTCTCCTGCCTTGTGTTTCTGGAATGAATGAAGGTCATTATTTAGAGGATAATCTGGGTTGTATTTGTGTCGTCAGATTGAATTTTCATTGCACATGCTACTTAATGTCTTTACCAAATAATAACAAAGGGAAAGAAAACCAAATATAGATGTATAATAAGGAAAAGCTGGCCTATAGAAAATACCAAACCAGATAATAGTAGCAAAGTTTAAGCCAATTTTGTTTTTAAAATGTCATGTACGTGGAAAAAGGTTTAACTTTAGTTTTCTTTGGGTGGTGGTTAAAAGTTATAAGTGATTAAAAGTTTTTTTCTTTTTCTACAATGAACATTATGTGACCTTGCAATTTAAAAAGCCAACGCCCTTTTAAGAAAGTTATGTCCATCAGTATTCCTCTAACTTCATTTTCTCTCGTTTCTTCTTCCCTCACTTTTCTAAGTTTTCCTTTATTAACCCCATTTTTCTTTAGTTTGTTTGCATGCTTCCTTGCTTTTCTTTTTTTTTTTCCTGGGTATGATAGAGAATTAGTCCCATTCTCTAAGTATGTAAATCAAGGAGTGAATTTTCAAGTAGACAAAAATGATTTACAGCATCCTTGCATTCGCTACCGATCTCTGCTTTTGTTAGCTCTTGTTTTTAGCTGGGAAAAAGCCAATTACCGCCATTTTAACGTTTCAGGTGTTCTTAATTCATTTTGAAACGCTGACTGATGAAAAAAATAAGGAATATCCTCTATGAATTATCCTGAACTGGCTTATAATATATTGTTTGAATTCCTGTTATGAGCTTCTGTTTCTTTAACAATATTTTGTAAAGTGTGTTTCACATAACAGCAGATAATCACCAGAATGGGAGTGAATGACTTGTGGCAAATTTTGGAGCCTGTTAAGCAACACATCCCCTTGCGTAATCTTGGTGGGAAAACCATTGCAGTTGATCTGAGTCTCTGGGTGTGTGAGGCACAGACAGTCAAAAAAATGATGGGCAGCGTCATGAAGCCCCACCTCAGGTATAGTAAAAGCTCTTACAGTATAAATGTATGATGTATAAACAGTCTTGGTATCTTGATTTTGTTTCACCTTTTTTTTTCTTTTGTTGTTGTTATTCTTTTACATTTTGAGGTTTTAAGATCTATTTAACATGTCTAGATTCACCATCTTTATATTAAGGACTCACATTCGTACCTCTTACCCTTTGAGCTCCAGACTCACATAGCTATCTCCTACTTAACGTATCCACTAGGATGCTTCAGATACTAAAAGCCGGAGATTTGGGAGACATTTTCTCCCTATTTTACTTCTCTCCACATCTAATCCGTCAGTAAGTCTTGCCAGTTCTACCTCCAAAATATACTTTGTGTTCACAAACTTATCTCAGTGTCCAGAGGCACCACCTCAGTCTATGCCAACCTCATCTCTCATCTATACTCCTGAAGTGCCATCTTCACTAGTTTCTTGCTCTTGGCCTCCCCTACCCCAGACTATTTTCCACATAGCAATTAGAATAATCATAAATCTTTCTTGCTTAAAAATATTCAGTGGTTTGGCCGCGTGCAGTGGCTCACGCCTGTAATCCCAGCACTTTGGGAGGCCGAGGCAGGTGGATCACAAAGTCAGGAGTTTGAGACCAGCCTGGCCAAGATGGAGAAACCCCATCTCTACTAAAAATAAAAAAAAATTAGCTGGGTGTGGTGGCAGATGCCTGTAATCCCAGCTACTTGGGATGCTGAGGCAGGAAAATCACTTGAACCTGGGAGGTGGAGGTTGCAGTGAGCCGAGATCACACCACTGCACTCCAGCCTGGGCAACAGAGTGAGACTCCACCTCAAAAAAAAAAAAAAAATCAGTGGTTTTGGCCGGGCACAGTGGCTCACACTTGTATTCCTAGCACTTTGCGAGGCTGAGATGGGCGGATTATTTGAGCTCAGGAGTTCAAGACCAGCCTGGGCAACATGGTGAAACCCCATCTCTACAAAAAATACAGAAAATTAGCCGGGCATGGTGGCACACACCTGTAGTCCCAGCTGCTTGGGGACTGAGGCAGGAAGATCACTTGAGCCAGGAGATTGAGGCTGCACTGAGACAAGATCATGCCACTGCACTCCAGCCTGGGTGACAGAGTGAGACTCTGTCAAAGAAAAAGAAAATTCAGTGGTTTTCCACTCTAATTAAAGCTTAAGTAAAATGTTATTACATTAACGTTTTTGATACTAGTCTAATGTTCTTGCCTTTGTGTTATACTATTTTGACTTTTACTATCAGTGTTTGATGATTAATGTATTACTAATTTATATATTTCAGGAACTTATTTTTTCGTATCTCATATTTAACACAAATGGATGTAAAACTGGTATTTGTTATGGAAGGGGAACCACCAAAGCTGAAAGCTGATGTCATAAGCAAGAGGAATCAGTCTCGGTATGGGTCTTCTGGAAAATCGTGGTCTCAGAAAACAGGGAGATCACATTTTAAATCAGTCTTAAGAGAGGTGAGCATTCAGATTTGATTCAGTAATTCCGATTTGAATTAAAGGGTGCATTTTACTCTTAATAGTTTGTCATCTTTAATACTTATTAATTTTATTGTGACTAGCAGGGATGTGCCTAGAGAAAAGAGTTTATTTTTTAGAGTGAAATTGACCTGAGTTTCATTCTTGGCACTGGTATGTAGAAACTCTGAGACACTGAGCAAAATTTGTAACCTATCTCTACCTTGTATGTTACCTTGTGAAATGACAACAGTAATACTCAGCAGGGATGTGATAAAAATAAGAGAAAGTATATCTAAAGCAACTAGTACATGGTAGGAACTTGATCATATTACCTTTTATAACACCTTCAGGACTTAAAGAAGTCCCAGAATACATGAGATCTCATTAATTCGTACTTCACTCATTCAGAATTCATGATAGTTCATATACAGAATATATATTTGGCTTCCCTTAGGGCTTGTAATTTTAAAAACTGTCGTTACATTATAATATATTATTTATATGTTACTTTAATATTGCTATATTTTATATTTGTATGAAACTTAAGAAAGAAATCATCTATAGTATATAATTAAAACAATAGGAAGCTTTTTTTTTTCTGTTTTCTTTTTTTGGTTGTTTTTTTTTTTTTTTTGAGATGGAGTCTCGCTCTGTCACCCAGGCTGGAGTGCAGTGGCGCAATCTCGGCTCACTGCAAGCTCCGCCTCCTGGGTTCTCACCATTTTCCTGCCTCAGCCTCCCGAGTAGCTGGGACTACAGGCGCCCGCCACCACACCTGGCTAAGTTTTTTTTGTTTTTTTTTTAGTAGAGACAGGGTTTCACTGTGTTAGCCAGAATGGTCTCGATCTCCTGACTTCGTGATCCGCCTGCCTCGGCCTCCTGAAGTGCTGGGATTACAGGTGTGAGCCCCTGTGCCTGGCCTTTTTTGTCTGTTTTCAAATGTGTGTATTTTTAAAGAGTTGTAGTAGTACACATGATTTTTAACCTAGCCTTTTCACTTAATGCTTCATGTTGTCATATTTCCCTTTTGTCACATTCTAATCAAAATCATAACTTGTAGTGGTTGTGCAACATGTATGAAGCTATGAATCATACCCCTGATTGTATATGTTATTTACTTTTTTAGTTTTTCTCTACTATACATGGAAGTGTGATTAACATTTTTTGTGTATATAATGTTTTCTTGTGATTTGAAATTTTAGATAAAATTACCCAATGTTGGATTGATGGGTCAAAGTTTTGGAATGATTTTATTGCTCTTGCTGATTAATTTCTGCTAATGCAGATGTCAGAGAAGCAGTGTCGGTGCACTCACAAGAACATTGGATGTTAGGAGGCTTGTCTTTGTAATATTTAGTGTGCAACAACAAAGATATTTAATATGCATTTGTCTTTTAATAGTAATGTTAAACATTTCATCTATTTTTAGTCTCCCTTTGGGTAATGGCTATCATCATGTCCTTTACCTACTTACCTCTTGAGGTTTTAATTTTTCTTTTGTGCAAGTTCTTTATGTATTAAGGATATAAGCTTCTATCATATTTGCTTTGAATTTGTTTTTCTTTTTAATTTTAGTTAAAAAATTATGCCATTTTTCTCCTCTTCTGAAATTTTATTTTCTACTCACTTTTAAAAATAGTTTTCAATTAGTGAATATTCCACCCTAATGACTATCAGCAGTTGAAGAAAATATCTGTGCTAAGTTCTAATTACTTCTTGTATAATCAATTCCTGGAAATATTCATGGTCCTCAATCTTAGAGTGTTAAAGAACCAGCATAAAACAAAAAAAGAGATGTCCATCTCTTCTTAAGAAAATTGCTCCATTCCTGTTTCTTTATTGCTGCAGTAATTATGGTGTTCTTAGGCATTTTGTGTCAGTTCAGTATTGCCTGTTAGTCATTTTTATATTTCTGTACTCTTCAGTTACTAGGCCCTGCTTCCTCCTAATCCACTGCTATCTTTTAGGTATTCGCATGAAAAGCACAAATTAGTAGTCCTCCAATACCACCTCCACCCCACATGGTAGAGACATAGAGTGGGAAAAATTGCAACAGCCTTATAGGAAATTCTGTGCTGGTTCTTTGAAAAAATTTGAAGTGGCAAATAGTACAAGAAGTTGAAATAACTGTATTATGAAAGGCTATTTTTTACCTAGGGGTAAGGTCGAAGCAACACTGTCACAAAACTGTCTCTCTAAAATCACGGGGCCAGCGTCCTGAAAAGTGATATTTTTCAACATAGTACTTTGACTTTTTGAACCTTGTCTGCCTTGGGCAACATCTGACAGTGGTAGTTATTATGTAATGTGGCGTGGAAGTGATTAATCAAAGCAAGAAATGGTATTTATTCTGTCAGTCTCTAGAAACTACAAGTAAGTAGCCTTTTCTCCCCACCATACTCAGTAGTCCCTGATAGAGAATGATACATGACAAAAAAGAATGGCGTATTACAAGAAAGAATGAACTAGGCTATAAGGCCAGACTACAAGCTACCCAGCGGGGTTAAATTCATAAACCAGAGGAAAGTCACAGCAAATTATTTGTGCATCAGCAAAATGATGTAATCATTCTGCACAAACATTTGATTTCCTAGGAGGACACTGACAGCTGACTTCTCCGCAGTTTCCCACAATACGAGAGTTTCATTGTACAGGGAAGGCAAGATGAGAAAAAAATGCAAACATTAAAATTCAAGCCAAAACTGTATGATAGCATCTTCTTTGGAAGTACGCGTATTGGGTTGACCATCATGTGAGAAAAATTATTGAAGTCTTCTAGATGTAAATCTTAATATGATTAATTATTATTTAAAGATATTTTCAGAATCTGACTATAATAGCAATGAAATGTGAATATGGATTACTTTGTAATTAACATTAAAATCTTAATTTTTTATTACAGAAAATTTAAATCAACACAAAAGTAACCCATCACTAATCTTAAACCATTATCTTGGCTCATCTTGTTTCATCTATTCCCCTATCCACACATCATTTTGAAGCAAATCGTAGACATAATATTGTATCATTCCCTGTATTTCATGTTTTCTAAAAGATGATTCCTAAAAAATAAAAAGAAACATAACCACAATATAATTTTTATTAGCACACGTAAAAGTTTGGCAGTTCATTCCTTAAAGCCCTCAAATATTCAGTCATTGTTCAAATTTCCAAGTGTTTCTTAAATATCGTAATTTTTAAAACACCAAAATAGCTACTATTAATATTTGTAATACAGAAATAGGTTTAATAGTAAATAAATGAGCAGTGAAAACATTCTTTAACATCTTGCACCTGCTTTTTGTTTTCAGTGCCTCCATATGCTCGAATGCTTAGGAATCCCCTGGGTTCAGGCTGCTGGGGAAGCTGAAGCCATGTGTGCTTATCTCAATGCTGGTGGTCATGTCGATGGCTGCCTCACCAATGATGGAGATACTTTCCTTTATGGGGCCCAGACTGTTTACAGGAATTTCACTATGAATACAAAGGTGTTTATTTTCTTTCTCTTTTTCAGCATTTGTTTACGAACTACCTTTTTTAAAGGGCTGATTAAATGAAATAGTAGATATAAAATGCTTACTGTAATGCCTTGCACGTAGCAATTGCTAATTAAAATGCTTACTGTTATTAAAAATCATTGCCACATAGTTCATTCTCTTCAAAATGTGGATTTATCTCATAAGAACTTGACTTGTTTGTTTCACATGGTTTGATTCTAAATCATTTTCAAAAATACATCACGAATTGCATATGAAAATGTGTTGCTTTGATCCTGAATTTCCAGTTTAGTGTTTCATCCTCAGAAATACCTCCAAATATGCAAAGAGAGAGATATAAAGATGTTCAATGTAGCATTGTTAATAATTACAAAAATTTGGCAAGCAGCCCGAGTGCTCATTGATAGGGACATGGTTAAATCCTTCACACTTACTGGTTCCCAGTTGGAGAGATACTGCTGGGAGACATTTTGGTTGCAACAGTTCAGGCTTGGGCAAAGGAGAGTATAGATATGTGATGGCTTGGTGCCAACCAAACTAAACCTTCTGCCAGACATTTCTGCTATCCCTCCCGAAATGCTAATATTAGCACCCCCATTGAGAAACACTGTTTCAGAGTCCATATGATGTAATACAGTGCAGTCATTGAAAAGGCTATTATTGACATAAAAGATATCCAGACATATTAATGGTGGAAAATTTCTCAAAATAGTATTTTTATATAATCCTACTTTTACTTAAAAAACGTAATTAACAATAAATATTCATATATATGTATCAAAGGAGATGGTTTTTTGGAAGAATATGCACCAAGCTATTAATGATAGCTCAGGCAGTGCAGTTACGGGGAATGTTTACTTTCTATAATATATATATATATATATGTTACAGTGTTTTATTTTGTAAGATGGAAATCTACATTTTTTAGACACCAGAAAGCAATAAAATGGAAAAAATTGGCTAGCATAGTTATTTTTAAGCCATTTTTGAAACTACAACTTTATTTTCATATATTGAAATGTCAGATTCTATAAAGATTCTGCTGATCAGGATAATTTTCTTATATAAAGTTTTTGGAATAATTAAACTTTTTTTCTTTTTTTGAGACGTAGTCTCACTGTGTCACCCAATCTGAAATGCAGTGGTGTGATCTCAGCTCACTGCAACCTCCTCCTCCTGGCTTCAAGTAATTCTTGTGCCTCAGCCTCCCAAGTAACTGGGACTACAGGCACATGCCACCACGCCTGGCTAATTTTTTTGTATTTTTAGTAGAGATGGGGTTTCACCATGTTGGCCAGGCTGGTCTCAAACTCCTGACCTCAAGTGATACACCCACCTTGGCCTCTCAGAGTGCTGGGATTACAGGCATGAGCCACCATGCCCAGCCTGGAATAATTAAACATTTAAAGATAACATTGACAAATTATTTTTGTAATGTGGTTTAATGTATAAATATGTACTTTTTGAGGATTAAACTAAATCTGTTCTTTCTTTAGGACCCACATGTTGACTGTTACACAATGTCATCTATCAAGAGTAAACTAGGTTTGGATAGAGATGCTCTGGTTGGATTAGCAATACTTCTTGGCTGTGATTATCTCCCAAAGGTAAGCTGAAATTGTCATATTTATTTGCTATTCATAAAGTCTTTTTCGTACTTTATGTGCTGTATAAATATGAATATAATATGGCTATATGATTAAAAATCGAATTTAAAATATAATTTCAGGCATAATAAGCTATTCAGTGACTAAAATAATCGGCATTTCAGATGGCACTAAAAAGCTGACTTGTGACACTTAATATTATAAGCAAGAATAGAATAATGTAGTACCACAGCTTGAATCTCAGTAAACTGTTACTCTAGATTAAGAGATTCACATTTATGTTTGACTATCTTTTTAAATAAATATAGGAGTTATTCTTTTCTTGTATTATGCCATTGTTTCTTTCACTCTTTTTTCTGTTTTTTAGTTTTCAGTATTCTTTGTGCACATGCTCAATGCTATTACTGTTGCTAAGTCACGTGATCATTGGGATAAGCCATTCATATTTCCATGCCTCTCAGCGTTGTGCTGGGTTTTGTTCATGGAAATATTTGTATCTTAAGATGCACAATCTAGTGCTCTGTAACAAATAGGTATAACAGGTGAGTGATGAGTTAAGTATTATGAGAATAATCCCATTTTTTTAAATGTAGTGTTTAAAAATAGAAAATGACTGGTATTGTAGGTCTTACTATGTAGTTCCCTTATTATGTTCCTACTGATTATTTCTGTATCCTTACAATCCGTCATTTTACCTCTATTCCCAAGAGAAGTATAAAGAAGAATGACATGTAATTTTTTTTCCATCTGAGCTCAGGAGAAAGGAAAATATAGCAGGGTAATAAAATTATTAAGCCTAATTTGTAATTTATATCATCAAAGAACTTTTTTTAAACTGTGAGGAAAAGAAAGCAGGAGGAAAGAAACTTTTAAATACCACAAACCATTATTTTGTAATTCTCCTTCTAAAGTAAAAGACGATTTCCTAAATAAAATTATATCATAATTAAAATCTATAAACAGCCCAATGTTTAATTTAAGAAAAAATTTGCTGACTTGAACTCACAGAAACCAACTTTAGCTACAGTGGTATTTAAATTATGCATTAGCCATAGCTATATTGACCTTTTGTGTTTTTTAAAACCAAAACTGCTATGTATTTACATTGTTCTACTTAAAGACTTTTAAGACTATGTACTAACTTGATTTGCCTTCAAAAACTTAAAGCTAATGCTAATACAAGAAGAATGATATTCAAGATATCTAATAACGTGTATGCCAAAGACATAGGCAATAGAGATGGAAGAGACTTCTGGGTATCCCTGCTGTGCCATAGACTCTCTTTTTAGTAGCTGGATTCTGGGTATAGGTGGATTGGGAAGTATTCAGGTTAGATGGGACATTCCTGTGCAGGCAGATACTCAGAATGCTTGGGCAGTAGCTATTTACTAACCAGTTAACACGAGTGTGTAAATCCTAGTGTGTACTGGTTAAATAACAGCTCTGCTTATAAGGACATATTCATACACTTATAGGGGCTGGAAGACTCAGTTTAAATCAGAAATTGTGACAGGAATATACATTAAGGCATATCATTTTCGTATATTGGAAATTCACACTTTAAATTTTCTTAAGTTTTTAATTTCAAGAGTTAACTTAAAACGTTCCTTCGTTCTCTGTTTATGTCTGGGTTTTGGAATATTAAATGTTCATGTAATTAAATGAACTTGCTTTTTCCTGATTACAAACATAAAGTTAGGTTAAATTAAAATATTATCCAAATAATTAACATAGTAAATGAAAGCCCTCTAAAATTATGACCCTCCCTTCCCTAAAATAAACACCATCAGTGGTTTGGTATATAACTCGCTGAAATTTTTGTTTACATAGATAACAGTGTAATTGTCATTTACTTTACAAATCCTGATCATATACACTATTGTGAAGTTTTTGTTTTATGCATAGCAGTGTATCTTGCATATCTTTTCCTATCTTTATTGAAGAGTTACCTCATTCTTTCAGCTGCTGACTCTTCCGTTCAATTAATATACTTTTAACCATTCCTAGTGATTAACATTGGAATTATTTTTTTTCCCACTTTCTGAAAGGGAGTCCCTGGAGTTGGAAAAGAGCAAGCATTAAAACTTATACAGATTTTGAAAGGGCAAAGTTTACTTCAGAGGTAACTAATAATTACTTTCTCTTGTGACATTGAACCTTTATTCTTGCTGAACTTAATAACGAATAGTACAGGAAACAATTGTTTTCCAAAAAAGGGTTTTGTATTTTTAAACTGACCTATATTTTGTTTGATTTAAGATAATTTATTTTTATTTATTTTGAAATTTTCCAAAGGAAGGATGAGAATACATGTTCCAAGCCGTATTGCATTTTTTTTTCTTTTTTTGGAGACAAGGTCTCACTGTGTCGCCTAGGCTGCAGTGCAGTGGCGCAATCACTGCTCACTGCAATCTCAACCTGCCGGAGTCAAGTGATCCTCCTACTTCAGCCTCCTGAGTAACTGGGACAACAGATATGCACCACTGTGCCCAGCCACCATACTACATTTAAAATATACATATTATTTATATTAAACATGTTAATATATTAATTTTTAATTTTTTTTTTTGTAGAGATAGGGTCTCCCTATGTTGCCCAGGTTGGTCTTGAACTCCTGGGCTCAAGTGATCCCCCTGCCTTGGTTTCCCAAAGTGTTAGGATTACAGGCATGAGCCACGGTGCCCAGCCACCATACTGCATTTTAAAAAATCTATTATTAGCTCACTAAACACATTTAGTACAATGTCAAGTGCATTTATGTATGACCATGGGCATTTTGCCACTAGCTATTTTAAACCCTTTTACCAAAAGGTAAAGATAAACATGACATTAAAATAATTTTGTATTTAATACTTTGATATTGTATTTTCTTTCTATAAATGAAATGTCTGTGGCGTGTTGTAAATATTTAATAATAAGCAACATTAATTGAAATCTTACTCGACTGGCCTTTGCTTTATAGCTACATATTTAATAATAACATTAATTCGTTTAGTCTCTATAGTTGGAGGATTCAGAACAAGATGCAGATTATATAGAAGTTAACAAACTATGCTATTTACTATCTCAAAAACACATGAATTATATTTGCTGATGAAAGCAATGTTTTATAAAAATTAATATTAATGATGATAGGTATAGAATCAATAAGAAAGGAACTAGGACACTGGGAAACTTAAAACAGTCTTGGCCTCCAGCAGGTTCGAGATGGCAAGTGCCTGAAAAAAATGTTAAGAGGTAAAAATGAAAAAGGAATGACCATAAAAAATACATCAAATCACTGTATTCTTTCCTATGATACTTCTCTTTTAGCTGTAAAACTGTTGATAAATGTAAGACTTCAGTAAATCCATTATTGACATCAGTTATTACTGTGCCCAAGCAAGAAAGGAAAGGTATAATTTGGCCTGGGTGTGAGTTAAGGAATCATTTGGGAATTGTAAAAAATAATATAAAGAAGGAAAAGCAAGTGAATATAACACCTGGCTAACTCCAAACCATTCTTATTGAAACAGTTTCAGCAAATAAGCACTGTTGACACTTGAAAATAATAAAATTACATTTATTTTATAATTATCTATTATTCTGTTTTATATACTGACTTTTCCTCTCAGTTATTTTTAATTTTTGCCGTGCTATTCTTTATCTGGAAGCAATTAATGCTAATTTTTAACAGGCTTGTACTTGGTCTTTGTAGTAAATGAATTAGAAATTCCAGAAGCTAAATAGTAACTCTTAAGTACCAGATACTGCACAATGACCTGAAGAGATAATTTAGCTTTTATAAAAACTTCAACTTGTTTAAGTAGAGGAACATAATTCAGAACACATACGTTTTATGATTAATACCTAACCATACCCTTTGTGGCTTTATGTTAACCTGGAACTTTAGCCAAAAACGAAATTAACTTTTAATTAGTAGAAATCTTTATAGTACTATACATTTTTCTTAAAATCTTTTATGAAGCAGGTAATGTTTTGCTCTTTGCACAAGAGATTAAGAAATGATTATTTTACATGATTTAGCTTTTTGATACAGTTTTCACCCAGAAGATTAATGTTTTATTTAATTTTATATATTACTCTTTACTCTTCTTTCTGATATAGAGAAATGTTCATGATTCTGTTTTGTACTCTGGCACACAGAGTCAGTCTGCTCACATACTGCTGCCTAACTTAAGATTCTTCAAAAAAAAAAGACTGATTGGATATATATATACATACATATATATATATACAATTTTTTTTAATAGAGATACCGATATATAGATACACACACACATATACTCTCTCTCCTGTCTTGCAGTTCTGCTGTCCTTGGGCCTTGGGGCCACATTTAAAGCTTGTGACTGAGGGTTTTCCCACACTAGGCCAGCAACTTTATCAGCCACCAAAGGGAAAATAATTAGGTAGGTGAAAGGGAATAGATCAGCCTGATATTTGAGAACATACCGTTTTTGTGACCTCATTTTTTTTCCTTTTTTTAAAAACCACTTTCTATTAAAGGTTTAATCGGTGGAATGAAACATCTTGTAACTCTAGTCCACAACTGCTAGTCACTAAAAAACTGGCTCATTGTTCCGTATGTTCCCATCCAGGTAAGGAGACATAGGGAATGGTTATTAGTATCTCATACCCATGTTTTAATTCTTGTTCACATAGTACTTTTTACATGCCAATATTAATAATACTTTGAAGGGTTTTACATTGTCTTCTCCACTAGATTAGGAATTCCTTGCAGTCAGTTTTGTTATATACACATAGTAGTCACTCAGTAAATGTTTATTGAAACCAATAATGTGATGTAGATGATAAATATAAGTACAGTTTCAAACTATGATACCAAATTACTTAGATCTTAAAACTATGTTTTCAATATAGAAATCCATTTTAAGAAAAAAATATATACTAATAAGTCTTAGGGAAAATGGAACTGAAACCATTTGTTAATATATTGGTGATTTATATTTATCTACTTAAATGATTCTTCATTGTCCTGTAATGCATTTTGTGTGTGAAGACAGTGACTTAAAACTAATTTCTAATACATGTTCACTATTCTTGAAAATAGCTTGGATCTTCTTCATTAGTCTTGGTTTAAAAAAAAAAAAGACACTACGGAACACGTACTGGATCAGAAAGGCCTTTCATTCCCAAAAGAGATTAGGATATCATGTTAACTCATCTTTTAAAAGAAATTCTGCTATATCTAGTTGTCTTAATATATTTTTATTAACATTATTAAATTATAGATAAAATCATGGAAGAAAATCAATGTTTTTATAAATAAGATGCTATTGTATAGTTTTTTGATAACTTATAAATGACAATTTTAGGTCATATCAAGTATATGTGCTCTTACATATTCTCAAGACAATGTTGAAAGTAATCACACTTTGCTTTTAAAGGGAATTAAATTTCCACACCCGTGCCACAGTCATCATTTGTTCATGTTCCAAGGATAGTTTAAAAATAACTGTAACTGAGAGCTAGACACTAGCAGAGGTAATTAACTGCTATATTCTTTTAATACACTCGTTAAAGAAACTATTCTATTAGAGCTATTCTATTAAGTAAATAATCTTTTTTGCTAGTAATTACATCCTACTTTTTATGCATGTAGCTTCCACCTAAACCAGAAAGTTTTCTGTTGTTGATTATTGTAAATGTATAATTTCAAGTGTCTAATTAACACTTTCAGATAGAAGAATAATTTTTTCTAAAGTGTCATGTGATAGTAATAGCTCAAGATCTACTTGAGCCCAAGAATTACTATGGTGTCTATTACTCTATTCATCCTAAATGTATTGAAACCTTTCTATATGCTAGGTAGTGTGCTAGGCAATATTAATTTTGGAAAATTTAGATACTGGCAAAAAGAATGTATGTAGAAAGTAATTATAAAAGGCAAAAAATATTATACTTTTTTTGGGTCTCCATAAAGGTTCACCTAAGGATCATGAACGTAATGGATGCAGATTATGTAAAAGTGATAAATATTGTGAGCCACATGACTATGAATACTGCTGTCCTTGTGAGTGGCACCGTACAGAACATGATAGGCAACTCAGTGAAGTAGAGAACAATATTAAGAAGTAAGTTTTTTTAAAAACTCATGATTTTTCCTGGCATGACCTATACACATACCTTTGGTTGAATTATTTCCATATAATCTTTCCCCATATCTAGATTAGTCACATGTTTAACTAAATTTTTTTTTCATTTCTGTTCAAAAATTTAGCTAACCTAGGAGATAGTAATGTAATAGTTATTCAAAGGGAAGCTTGACTGTTTGGGATACTGTAAATTCACATTTCTTATTAAATGGGAGGAGATTGGCTGAGATGATTTCAGAGTCTAAAATTGTCTGATTATAGTAATAACATGTATATAATTTTTTTTTCAGGAAAGCTTGCTGTTGTGAGGGATTCCCATTCCATGAGGTAATATCCAGTAATTCAACTCTATTAATTTTAGAAACTTTCTTAAAAGTTTAAATCTCAGTTTCTATTTTCTTTTTTCTTGCTAGGTTATTCAAGAATTCCTTTTAAACAAGGATAAATTGGTGAAGGTTATCAGGTACCAAAGACCTGATTTGTTATTGTTTCAGGTATCTGAAAATAAATTCTTCTTTACTGTATGAAGTTATATGCTGGAAAGATAGGAACAGATATTCACTCTGATTGGTCTTAGAGGAGGTTTAAAATTAAAACAGGCAGCTCTTATATTTTTTCAGCATTTATTTCTACTCTCTCATTTGCCATACAGTGGCCATCTTTGCACACTATAAGACAAAGTATAGTTATGCTGTTTTAGAAGATGCCTTAATTAGCATATGTGGATATATTGCATCCATGGATATTTTGGGGGAAGAGGGTTTAATAACAAGAGAATGTTAAGATCAAGTATATAATTATGGAAGGTAGTATCATTTACAAAAACATTGATATCTGAAATTAATGACCTAAATTTAAATTTGGACCGTATTCCACCTACTGTGTGACCCTGGATGTGTGTTATTCTCAAAACAGAAATAATATTACTTATCTCATAAAGTCACCATGAGGATTAAATGAGATTATTTATATTAACTCCTAATATAGTGGCTAGGGACACGGAGTGGCTCAATAAATTGCAACAACTGGGTACTTACAAGTACCAGCTGTAAGTAATGACAGCCACATTAAGAACGACAGCCACATTAATAATGACAGCCAACATTTGTTAGACATTTAAATTTGCTGTTATGTTTAATGCATTGCATGTAATCTCAATCTTTGTAATCTGTGAAGTGGGTTGTAATATTTTCACATTACAGATGGTAAAACTGAGGCTAAGAGAGTTTAAGTAAGTTACCCAACATCTAAGAAATATCATCCTGGCGTTCAAACCGAGAGCCTTCACTCTTAATCATTATGCAATAATGATTCTTCCTTAGGAGGCTCATTGTTTCTAGAATATTCTCATTGATACTACTTTAACTTACGTTAATTCTAAAGGAAAAAATATTAATATCACCTAGGAGTGCTATTTGTCTCCAAGAGATAACAAAATCTTGTTTTATTTTTATTATATTTATAGAGATTTACTCTTGAAAAAATGGAGTGGCCCAATCACTATGCATGTGAGAAATTGCTGGTACTTTTGACCCATTATGACATGATAGAAAGAAAGCTTGGTAGCAGAAACTCTAATCAACTACAGCCAATTCGGTAATGTAAAGAACTGTATGGTGAAGGTGGTGTTTTTACTTGAGTATTTTATAATTAAAATATTCCTAATATCTTTAAGCTCGTTTTTGTAAAGGTGGAGGAAAGGCCTCCTGGAATATTAAAAGCTTATTCAGGGCTTATAATCAGAACAACATAGTAAGTCATGCTTTATCATACTTTTCTACTTCAAACACATAGTAATAATAGATTATAAAAAGAAACAAGCATAAAAGGATATAGCCAGGCTTTATAAGACAACTATTTCAGTGGACCAGAAAAGGAACAAACGTGTTAAGGGAATGTGGGAACTAAAACTGGTTTTGCAGAGCCTTAAATCTAGAAGCAGCCGTATCATCCAGGAGGTAAATCGCTTCAGAGAAAAAAAAAAAAATGGGGACCAAAAGTGCAAGATGTTGATGGAGTCAGGCTTATTTCTTGAAACCCAGTAGCTAGGGTGGAATTTCTCTGTTCCTATCAGGAGATTAGAGGCTGGGGTAGATAATAAAAAACTAACCAAATGCTGCCTGAAGCCCAGAAAGCCCACTGGAAATTACTCAAAGAGACTAGAGAGATAGAAGTGAAGACAGATAAAATATAAAAGAATTGAAGAAGAAAGCTTAACATATAAAGAAATATAATATTTTTAAAATCAACAATTGCGTCATGAATTCACTTCGGATTAAATTAAGTTTTAAAACAGTCTGACAGGTTTTATGCAAGGGGTGGGTGTGGTTGGCCTTTCAGAATGCTAGAATCCTCAAAAAGATGAAGACATATGTCTGTAAGCAACAGAAGGCAAAATTATAAAAATGTGTGTAAATGGATGGATATAAAAAGTGAACTATTAGCTTAAAAATAGTTGTTGAAATAAAAAGCAATCAAGGGGTCTCTAGGCTAAACTTGGTCCAAAAAAATTAGTGATTTGGAAGACAAATCAAGTCACACAGAAATGATCTCAAAGACTCTCATATAAAAAATGCTTAAGAGTAGTTTTGGATTAGTTCCTAGAAGCTAATAAAAGAAAAGGTTGAAAAGTAATTTTTGAAGAGATGATGTCTGAGAGTTTTCCAAAATTTAAGACAGATAGTTATACTACAAATTATAGTCGCAATACATGAAATACCCAAGGCATATTGTAGACATCAACGATAAAAGGAATATTTTAAAAAGTACCAAACCAATCAGGCAACAATCATCAATGGATGTTAAAACCATTAGATGAAAGATTGCTGCAGAGAAAGGATAGTCACAGTCTCAAGTACCGCTCTACAGATTAATTACAAAGGAAAAATGGTATCTTCAAAAGTGGAGAAATCCAGTGGACATCAGTTTAACTCAGTGATTAATTACCAATAAAAGAACAATAGACTGCTTTCATATGCTTTCTAATACGTTAAACTGAGAAAGATACTACATTATCATATAATATTTTTGCCAAAAAAGCTTGAGCTAGGTGGGGCGTGGTGGCTCGCACCTGTAATCCCAGCAGCATTTTGGGAGACTGAGGCCGGTGGATCGACTGAGCTCAGGAGTTCAAGACCCATCTCTTCCAAAAATACAAAAAATTAGCCAGGCGTGGTGGAGAGCACCTGTGATCCCAGCTACTTGGAAGGCTGAGTTGGGAGGATTGCTTGAGCCTGGGAGGTGGAGGTTGCAGTGAGCTGAGTTCATACCACTGCACTCCAAACTTGGTGACAGAGTGAGACCCTGTCTCAAAAAAAAAAAAAAAAAAAAAGGAAAGTTTAATCTGTATCTAATCATGAGGAAACAATCTAATGAATCCAAGTGAAAAACGTTCTGTGGAGCTATTATCCTGGACTCTTCAAAAATAAAAAATATCTAGGTAGTTTTCTGGATTAAAATAAAGAGACAACACAATTCAAGAAAAATGATCCTGATTGAATTCTGAATTGTTTTTAAGTCATAAAGGACCTTTTTTTTAGGACAATTGGGGAAATTTGAATATGGTCTATATTGTATCATTGTTAAACTTCCAGAGTGTGAAAGTTTTTTGTGGCAATGTAGGAAAATACTCTACATAGACAGGCTGCAGTATTTAGGGGTGATGTGCCATGAGACATGTTTGCAACTAACTTGCAAATGGAGAAAGCAAATGTGATAAAATGTTAACAATTGATGAATCTCAGTAAAAGTATGTGAGTATTCATTGTACTATTTTTGCAACTTTTATAAAGGTTTGAAATTTTTCAGAATAAACAGTTTGCTGGGAAGTATAAAAGAAAAAAGATCAGCTATCTGATAGCACACATCTTTCATAACCGTAATAGATGCCAGAAGATGCTGGAGTGATGTTTCAAAGTACCGAGTAAAAATAATTTACAACCTTGAAATCATTAAAACATTATTCATAGGAAAAGCGTTTTTAAACATATGAAGAGTAAGAGAGTTTACCACTCAAACCTTCCTTAAAAGTGCAGTTAAAGGGCTGGGCGTGGTGGTTTATGCCTGGATTAGCACTTTGGGAGACCAAAGCAGGCGGATCAGTTGAGGCCAGGGATTCTAGACCATTCTGGCCAACATAGCGAAAACACCTGTCTACTACAAATACAAAACATTAGCTGGACCTGGTGGTACATGCCTGTAATCCCATTTACTTGGGATGCTGAGGCACGAGAATCTCTTGAACCCAGGAGGCAGAGGTTACAGTGAGCTGAGATGGTGCCACTGCACTCCAGCCTGAGCAAACAGAGCAAGACTCAAAAAAAAAAGGATAATTTATTTTTTAAAGTGTTGTTAAAGGATATACTTCAGCAAGAAAAAAAATGAACACAGAGGGAAGATGTGAATTACAAGAAACAGTGGTCAGCCCAGGAATTGATTAAAACGTATTTGGATAATTTAATAAACTGACTAGAAAAAATTATGTATATAAATATTTGTATAATATTTAATGATTAATACATGATGATGATGATGATAAGCCAAAACTCCCAAAGTATGCATTCAAACACTTAAGAGTACCTGCTAGAAATATAATCTCTGTCTTCCAAACCAGTACAATTAAAATAAGAAAGTAAAACTATCAAACCAAAATAATACAGGCAGAAGGAAGATGGAAGTAACAAAGAAAAAGCTGGTGACAGCAAACAAAATAAGGTGCATGAATGAATCCAGCAGCTTTATCAGTAATCACCAAAAATGTAAGCAGATTAAACTCACCTATTAAAAGACAGATTATATTGGATAAGTAAATAAAATTCAGCAATATTCAGCTTACAAGGTACATGTAGAATAATACTACACAGAGTTTGAAAATAAAGAGATTTAAGAAGACTTAGTAGACAAATACTGTACTTACCAAAGTAATATAACAAATTTTAAAACAAAAATCATTATTGTGAAGATGAGGAACACTGCATAATAAGGTAAGAAACAACTTACTTAGAAGAACTAACAGTAATAAACTCTATGTACCTAACAATATTATCTTTTGAATAAACTAGTCAAAGGAATAGGCAGTAATTCCTTAAAATGTTTTTACCTGGGAAAAAAAAATCTATGGAAATTATTCAGGTTAGAAATGGAAAATTTCCAAATATCTTATGCAATTAGACTTCATTAAATGAATTTGTTTTTCAGAATTGTTAAGACTCGAATCAGAAATGGAGTTCATTGTTTTGAAATAGAATGGGAAAAGCCTGGTATGTATTCACTTTAAGCAAAATATTCCATTTATAATATTTGACCATGTATGTCTAGTAAATATTGTATATGTGTATATATATATATATACACACACACATAGATATGTGTATATATATATATACACACACACATATATGTGTATATATATGTATACACACACATATATGTGTGTACATATATGTATACACACATATGTGTGTACATATATGTATATACACACACATGTGTGTGTACATATATGTATATACACACACACGTGTACATATATGTATACACACACATGTGTGTACATATATGTATATACACACACATATATGTGTGTACATATATGTATATACACACATATATGTGTGTACATATATGTATATACACACACATATATGTGTGTACATATATGTATATACACACACAGCATGTGTGTGAAAAATAAAGATGAAACCCATCACATGCACCACAGGTTGATTTCATAGTTTGCCTGTGTTATTTTAGATAGGTTTTGACTAATAGTAAATATGATAAACTTTGATTTTATTTTAATGTCTCAATTTGACATTTCTTTTGTAATGTTTAAGGAAGTAATACCGAAATAATTTTTATTTATATTTCTCAAATACATGCTTTTACAAATGCTGTGGTCATTCAATGTCATGTATAGTTGCATCTGAAAAAATTGAGATTGTTAAAATACTCCTGGGGTACACTTCCTTTCCTTTTTTTTTTTAACCCTGCTTAGTTTTCAGTGGGAATTTTTTATTGTCAAATTATTCTTATTTTTGCTCCAGACAGAAATACAGTGAACTCTGAATTAGCTCCCAAACTGGAGATAGTGAAAAACAGATAATTTAAAATGAAAGTAATAATACTTTTTTTTTGAGACGGAGTCTTGCTCTGTTGCCCAGGCTGGAGAGTGCAGTGGCACCACCTTGGCTTACAGCAACCTCTGCCTCCTGGTTCAAGTGATTCTCCTGCCTCAGCCTCCCAAGTAGCTGGGGTTACAGGCACCTGCCATCATGCCTGGCTAATTTTCATATTTTTAGTAGAGATGGAGTTTCGTTATTTTGGCCAGGCTGGTCTCGAACCCCTGACCTCAGGTGTTCCACCCACTTCGGCCTCCCAAAGTGCTGGGATTACAGGCGTGAGCCACTGCGCCCAGCCTGGAAAGTAGTAATACTTTTGATGGCCCTTTCAATTGTGTTCTTTTCAGAAGCTATCACTAAAGAAAGCTGATGTTGAGTTTTAGGAAACTGTTTCATTTCTTACCTGGAATTTTAACACTTAACTGAATTAAACCAACCAACCTTACCTAAACAAAGTTTTCTGTCCTTTCAGCTACTGCTACCATCTCTGAAATAAGAGGATTTAAAGTTCTAATTTAGAAAGAATCTCCATCCGGCCATTGCCAGGCAAAAAGAAAATAAATTATGTACTGCTATCAACAGATTGTTAGAATATAGTGTTATAAAGCAAGATTTGCAATGAATAGTTCATTTGTGAATGATTTATTTTACCTGATAAAGCTAGTTACCTGGAAAGATTGATTTTTTTTTTTTTGAGATGGAGTTTTGCTCTTGTTGCCCAGGCTGGAGTGTAGTGGTGCGATCTCGGCTCACTGCAACCTCTACCTCCCAGGTTCAAGTGATTCTTCTGCCTCAGCCTCCTGAGTAGCTGGGATTATAGGCACGCACCAGCATGCCCGGCTAATTTTTGTATTTTTTATAGAGACATGGTTTCACCATGTTGATCGGGCTGGTCTGGTGTTGGTCAGGCTGGTCTCGAACTCCTGACCTCATGATCCGCCCGCCTTGGCCTCCCAAAATGCTGGGATTACAGGTGTGAGCCATCAAGCCTGACCGATTGAATTTTTTTAAATGCCTAATTAAGGACACTTTGCTGTATTTTTAATCTTTTAGAACATTATGCTATGGAAGATAAACAACATGGAGAATTTGCTTTATTAACAATTGAGGAAGAATCATTGTTTGAAGCAGCATATCCTGAGATCGTTGCTGTTTACCAAAAACAAAAGTTAGAAATTAAAGGGAAGAAACAAAAACGTAAGTTTTGGGTTTGATAGCTATTTATGCCACATGCAAATGTTATAGAAGAGCCACCTCTTCTGTTTGAATCTGCTGTGTCTAAATTTTACTGAAAAATCTATAAACTCAAAAGTCAAGAATTGTATTCTTCCTTCTTTGTCTTCACATACTTTCTTTTAAAGCTGAAAAGCCAGGAATAAATCATTCTGTTCTGTCTACTAACTTAGACACGTGTTAATAATAATAGTTATACTGACTAGTTGTTCAGCAGCTACTGTTTATAGCATATTCGGATTTTAAATGTTTTCTTTATTTCCCAGAACTCAGTGAGGAAAACAACTCAATTATAACATTGTTTTCAGAGGGAAATATTTTATAATCTAGCAATGCACTGAGATCAAAAAAAGGCAGAAACTATTCATAGAGATTTCTCTCTGAACTGTTTATTTTTTTATTTTTTACCCAAGTTAAAGCAAAGAAAATAAATGTTGATTATATGTATTTTTTTTCTTTTCAGGTATTAAGCCTAAAGAAAACAATTTGCCAGAACCAGATGAAGTAATGAGCTTTCAGTCACACATGACTTTAAAACCCACATGTGAAATCTTTCATAAGCAGAATTCCAAGTTAAATTCGGGGATTTCCCCTGATCCTACATTACCACAGGAATCTATTTCTGCCTCATTGAATAGCTTGCTTTTACCTAAAAATACTCCATGTTTGAATGCACAAGAACAGTTCATGTCTTCTCTAAGACCTTTGGCTATACAGCAAATTAAAGCTGTCAGTAAGTCTCTAATTTCAGAATCTAGTCAACCCAATACCTCATCTCATAATATATCCGTGATTGCTGATCTACACTTGAGCACTATTGACTGGGAAGGTACTTCTTTTAGTAATTCTCCAGCTATTCAAAGGAATACTTTTTCTCATGATTTAAAATCAGAAGTTGAATCAGAGCTATCAGCCATCCCTGATGGCTTTGAAAATATCCCAGAACAACTGTCCTGTGAATCAGAAAGGTACACTGCAAACATAAAGAAAGTGTTGGATGAGGATTCTGATGGGATTAGTCCTGAAGAGCATCTACTTTCTGGCATTACTGATTTATGTCTTCAGGATTTGCCTTTAAAGGAACGAATATTTACAAAATTATCATATCCTCAGGATAATCTACAACCAGATGTCAACCTGAAAACTTTGTCCATACTTAGTGTAAAAGAATCTTGTATTGCTAACAGTGGTTCTGATTGTACATCACATCTTTCAAAGGATCTTCCAGGAATTCCCTTGCAAAATGAATCCAGAGACTCTAAAATTCTAAAAGGAGACCAGCTGCTTCAAGAAGACTATAAAGTCAATACTTCTGTCCCTTATTCTGTCAGTAACACAGTGGTAAAGACCTGCAATGTTAGACCACCAAATACTGCTTTAGATCATAGTAGAAAAGTTGATATGCAAACCACTCGGAAAATTTTAATGAAGAAGAGTGTTTGCCTTGACAGACATTCCTCTGATGAACAAAGTGCCCCAGTGTTTGGGAAAGCTAAGTACACAACTCAAAGAATGAAGCACAGTTCTCAAAAGCATAATTCATCCCATTTCAAAGAAAGTGGCCATAACAAGTTGAGTAGCCCTAAGATACATATTAAAGAAACTGAACAGTGTGTCAGATCTTATGAAACAGCTGAAAATGAAGAAAGCTGTTTCCCAGATTCAACAAAAAGTTCTCTGAGTTCTCTACAATGTCATAAGAAAGAAAACAACTCTGGTACTTGTTTGGATAGCCCTCTTCCTTTACGCCAGAGATTAAAACTAAGATTCCAAAGCACTTGAAATTTAAAACACTTAGGTATAACTTAACTATTTTAGTACTATCAGCAATAGCAGAGACAGAGGGAAGGTATCTAGTTCATGTGTGGTAAAAATTTTAATGTTCTCTGTGTCATGAAACACTTGCCATTTTAATCAAAGTTGTAATTTTTAAAAAGTCACCTAAAACTCTGGTTTTAAAAGATCCTCTGTATTGAAAACTTCTGATAATGTATGTCATTATGTCCTTACTATTCCTTAATTGTAGTTTTAAAATATTGGTATAGTACTTGACAGAGTAAATACTTCATCTGATTGTTCATTTTTACTTTTTCTTCCACAAGCCTCTAAAGTATTTATATTCCAGCTTGTTCCCAAGAGGATAATTCTTTATACTTCTCTTCA
Source organism: Homo sapiens (assembly GCF_000001405.40). Taxonomy (NCBI): domain Eukaryota; kingdom Metazoa; phylum Chordata; class Mammalia; order Primates; family Hominidae; genus Homo; species Homo sapiens. Next base: position 17,782,321 of record NC_000002.12, read on the forward strand.
TTCTTTTAAGGCCTTGCAAGGTCTTCCGTTATAACTCGCTTTCCTAAAAGCTATTTTCTCCCTCAGTGTGAAGATACCTTTAGTGTGCTCTTCCACTTTGGAAGGCCATGCAAGGTGTTCCATTATAACTCTTTTTCCTAAGAGTTATATTCTCCCTCAGTTTGAAGATACCTTTAGTGTGCTCTTCCACTTTTGGTGTCTTAGTCTCTTTTGAGGGGCAAAAATAGAAAAGGAGAGAAGATGTCAGTATGTTTAGTAAAAATCATGCTCGTAATGGCTGAATAAACTGAGCAAAGTAACTCCTTATGTATCCCCAGAAGTTCACAGGTATATCGGGTGGAAAAAGATTTGGAAAATCAAATGTATAACCAAAAGGATTAGAAACTAGCCCAGGATCACGTAGCTAACTAATAATCCTGTGGGAATCAGTTTTCTTGCCTGCTAATTTTTTTATTTTTCTATTTTTTCCTTCTATAGCACTTTTCCCCCTTTTGTTTTGAATCTATGCAATATTGACTTTAATACCACCAAATATTAAGTCATGCATTAATTTAGGTCGCACTCAAAAATTCTAGAGAGGCATCCAGATTGAAAAGGAAAATGGTGTCTGCAGATGACAAGATTGTATGCATCAAAAATTCTAAGAAATCCACTAGAAAACTATTAAAACTGATAAAGCGAGTTCATCCAGGTCGTAGAATACAAGACCAATGTGCAATGATCATTGCATTTTGTTTTTGTTTGTTTGTTTTTTTTTGAGACAGAGTCTCACTCTTGTCGAGACTGGGGTGTAGTGGCGCCATCTTGGCTCACTGCAACCTCTGCCTCCCAGGTTCACGCAATTCACATGCCTCAGCCACCTGAGTAGCAGGGATTACAGGTGTGTGCCACCATGCCTGGCTAATTTTTAGTATTTTTAGTAGAGATGGGATTTTCCCTTGTTGGTCAGGCTAGTCATGAACTCCTGGCCTCAAGCGATCCACCCATCTTGGCCTCCCAGAGTGCTGGGATTACAGGTGTGAATCACCATACTCAGCCTCAATTGTATTTCTGTACACCTCTAAATAAATGGAAATACATTCCATGTTCATGAATCAGAAGACATAAGATGACCATACTCCCCAAACTGATCTACAGGTTAAATGTAATTCCCATTAATTCCAGCTGGTTTCTTTGCTGATTCTAAAATTCATATGGAAATTTCAGGAACACAGAATATTAGGAAGAATCTTGAAAGAGTTTGAATGACCCACCCTTCCTGATTTTAAGTATACAGAACTACAGTAATGAATGTGTTGTACTGGTATAAAGGTAGACATATAGGTCAATATAGATCAATGGCATAGAATTGAGAATTCAGAAAAAAAGCCTTCACGTTTATGGTCAGTTGATTTTAAACCAGAGTGCCAAGACAATTCAATGGGAAAAGGAAACAGTCTTTGAACCAACTGTCTTCTGGATCTATTGGATATCTATGTAAAAAAGAGTGACATTTGATTCCTACTTCACATGATATTTAAGAAGTAACTTAAGATGGATCAAATACCTAAATGTAAGCTAAAGCTATAAAACTCTTAGAAGAAAACATAGACGTAAATCTTTGTGACTTTGGATTAGGCAAGGATTTCTTAAATATACCCAAAGCATAGGCAACAAAAGAGAATACACAAACTGGACTTCATCAAAACTAAAAACTGTTGTTTGAAATGACACCATCAAGAAAGTGAAAAGACAGCTTACAGAATGGGAGAAAATATTTGCAAATCATAAATGTGATAAGGGACTTGTATCTTGGTGGTATATAAAGAACTCGTAACTCAATTATAAAAAGACAACTTTGAAATGGGCAAAATAGCTCAACAGGCTTTTCTGCAAAGAAGAAATACAAATGACCAAGAAGCACATTTAAAAATTTTCAGTACTATTACTCATCAGGAAAATGCAAATCAAAACCACAAGACACCCAATGTCTACAATCAAAAAGATAATAACTAGTATTGATGAGGATGTGGAGAAATTGAAATTCTCATAACATGCTGGTAGGAATGTAAAATGGGGCAGCCACTTTGGAAAAAGTCTGGTAGTTCTTCAAATGGTTAAATGTAGAGTTACGATATGATCCAGCAATTCCTCTCCCAGGTATATACCCAAGATAAATGAAAACTTATATCCACATAAAAACCTGTGCACAAATGTCCATAGCAGCGTTATTCATAATAGCCTAAAAGTGGAAACAATCCCAGTTCCAGAATGAGGAAGGGGAGAAACTAATGTGTATTAGCTATTGTGTGCTAAGCATTCAACTAGATTATTTACAAACCTTGTATCATCTCAACTCTTTAAGGACTGTATTGCAATGTTTTGAATATTCAGAGAGAAAAAAGTCGTTGCTAAAACATTTTCCAAGGTTCTGCTTATTCTGATTTGTTCAGTCGTGGCTGTGATAGTTCAGGACCATCTAGACCAGGTAAATAAAATATCTAGAGGCATTCTTGAGATTGTATGAGATGAAAATAACAAAATTAGTTGGGAGTGGCCAGTCTGAGTTCATTTTGCTATATAGCTCAGGAGTCCCCAACCCCTGGGCTATGGACAGGTACCAGTCCATCACCTGTCAGGAACCGGCCTGCACAGCAGGTGTTGAGCGGCATGCAAGCGAGAATTACCGCCTGAGCTCTGCCTCCTGTCAGATCAGCGGTGGCATTAGAGTCTCATAGGAGCATGAACCCTATTGTGAACTACGCATGCGAGGATCTAGTTTGTGCACTCCTACTGAGAATCTAATGCCTGATGATATAAGGTGGAACAGCTTCATCCCACAGCCATCTCCCCCTCATCATCCGTGGAAAAACTGTTTTCCACGAAAGTGGTCCTCGGTGCCAGAAAGGTTGGGGACTGCTGATATACCTAATATAGGCATAAGTGTAAAATTATAGTTCCTCCTCCTCAAGGATTTCTCTGTTTTCATTGTCCAGGTTATACCAATTCTTTTTAAAGCATTCCATGTTCTTGTTCCTTGATGTGGTCATGTTATCACTTGTAAATCAAATCTTTTAAGTTGCTGCTTACGTATTTGCTCATCACTTCATTGTCTTGTTGAGGATGCCTTGCTTCCCTTTGAAATACTCTGCCAAAGATCTGCCTCCAGCTGCTAGGATCCTGTAATTGGTTTCTTTCTGATGGCTCCATGCTAAGGCCCTGCTCTGGCCTAACTGCTTTGGGCTTTGTGTAATCAATCTTAAGTCCTTGGCGGTTTTTCTTTTAGATTTTTTTCCATATAAAATCTCTATCTGGCCACACATGGTGGCCGTGCCTGTAATCCCAGCACGCTGGGAGGCTGAGGCGGGTGGATTGCTTGAGGCCAGGAGTTCAAGACCAGCCTGGCCAACATGGTGAAACCCCATCTCTACTAAAAATACAAAAATCAGTGGGGCCTGGTGGCGTGCACCTGTAATCCCAGCTACTCGGGAAGCTGAGGCAGGAGAATCGCTTGAACCTGGGAGGCAGAGGTTGCAGTGAGCTGAGATAGTGCCACTGCACTTCACTCCAGGATGGGCGAAAAAGTGTCTAAAAAAAATTAAAATTTAAATTAAAAAAAAATATACAATCTCCGTCTTCTAGATTTTATAATGAGGACTCTACTTTTTCCTTTTGGGTAGCATGGCTTGAGCCATCTTGTCAGGCATACCTAGCTTCAGATTCTTTTCTGCTAACAGATTTTCTCTGTGACCCTGGAGACATTTTCTAACTTTTCTGAGACTCATTTATTCAAATGTTTATGTGACAGGCATTGTGCTGGGCCCTGGAGATACAGTGATCAATGGCATCCTATAAGGTTTTGATATCTGTGAAGTCACTGCCACCATTGACACATTCTAGGGACTCAGTAAATTGTAGCTGTGTCCGATACCATCATTTGGAAAGAGCACTATCAGATTTTGGATTCAAACTGAATGCAGCCAAGCACTGCCTTTTGGTAAAAATGTGGACACAGTAACACTAGTAGGGGGCAGTGTGAGGGTGGGAGATGTGTTTTCAGAAGAAGGAAACTCTAGATTAGCATCACACAAGGGATCCTAACGTGGCATTTGAGCTACTGGAAAAAAATTGTGCTTGCTTAAATATAATGTGGTAACTAATATTCATCTAATCACCTACCACATTTTTGGAGCACCCACTTTGAGCAAGGTTCTTAGGCTTTTCTATGTACAACAGCCAGCTGGAGGCCCAGTGAGTTTAAAATTTTTCCAGGTCACCCAACTAGAAAAAGTTAAAGCTGGGACTAGAACTCAGATCTCCTAATTCATGAGTGAAAACAATTCTCTGTATTTATGTTTCCATACATCATTCAGTTCTTGACTCAAATATCACCTCAGAGAGTCCTAATCTTTTTATCTCCTGACATTATAAATGTTGAGTTCAGGGTTTTTTTTTTCATTGTTTCCCAAACTAGAATGCAGACTTGATGAGGGCAGGGACTAAGTCCTTTCTGTTCACAGAATTCTAGAACAGTGTTTGACACAGTAACTACTAGATGCATGAATGACAATTCTCCACAACGCCCCACCCATGGAGCCTGTACCAGCAGTGGCTGCACTTAACCTTGCGGAATCTGGCCTTAGTACTTCAGCATGGCTCACAAGGCTGAGGCAGCCTGGCCCCAACTTGTCTCTTCAGCTTCATGCATTCATAGTCATGAACCTTGGCTCTAGCCACCTAAGACCATTTGTTATTCCCTGCACGGATGTCTCTGCCTGAAATGCTTGCTGCTTCCTTATTGGCTAGATAAACCTCATCTATTAAGGACCAGCTCACATGTCATAACTTTATAATCCCAAGCAGAATTATTTGCTCTATACGTGTCCCCAAAGAAATTACCCATACATTCATCAGAGTATTTATCACATTCATTCATTCGTTCCACAAATATTAGCTGATGCCTGCCGTGTAGGAGGCACAATATTCCTTACTTAAAAATGCCTCTATCTCTCCCTCAGATAAGACTAAGATCTCTGAGCACAGGAATCAAGTCTTATTTCTGTTCACTTCCCCCAGATGCCTACACAGGGTTTGACTCTTCTGCCTCACCAACTCTTACCCATCGAGATTCAGTGTAAACGTGGTCTTCTCTAAGAAAGTCTTCTGTTGCTTCTCTGGATCGCTGCTAGTCCCCATAGACTTCTAAAATATTATCTGTCTATAGTTTTGTGTTGGGTTACATTTTTTGTTTCCCACACCAGACTATGAACATCCTCAGGGCAGAGAAACTATATTGTACTTCTGAATTTATAGCACCCGGCAGAGGGATTGGCACAGAAAGTGTCCAGTGAGGCCGGGTGTGGGGGCTCACATCAGCAGTTTGGGAGGCCGAGATGGGCAGATTGCCTGAGGTCAGGAGTTCGAGACCAACCTGGCCAACATGGTGAAATCCCATCTCTACAAAAAATACAAAAATTAGCCGGGTGTGGTGATGGGTACCTGTAATCCCACCTACTTGGGAGGCTGAGACAAGAGAATCACTTGAACCCGGGAGGCGGAGGTTGCAGTGAGCTGAGACCGTGCCATTGCACTCTAGCCTGGGCAAGAAGAGCGAAACTCCATCTAAACAAAAGAAAAAAGAAAGTGTTCAGTGAATGGGTGCTGATTGACTGATGGTGATTTCAGTCAGGGTCTTAGTTCTAAATTTCTCTGTGGAGAGAGACCAAATCTAACCGGGTGGATTAGCTTGATACCTAGTCGCCTTTAGCCACTTCAAGACGCCCTGCCAAGATGCTTGCTTTCTGAAGGTGAAGAGTCTAAATCAACTGCTGTTCCTGTTCTGCTGGTAGCACTTAGGGTAAAACAGCTTAAATAGTATTACTGAAGGCAGCCTCCTTTCATCTATATATTAACGTGGCAATGTTTATCACCTTCTTAACCAAGCAAAGCTTTTATCAGGCTCAGCTAACAGCTTGCATTAGCCTCTTTCAGGAACTTGCCACATTGCCTATAAACTGACATGCTGCAGAGTCAGCCCCAGCAATAGTCCAAAACAGTGGGACTCTTTTTGATGATTTCAAAATGGATAGTTTAGTTAGCCCCAGGCCAGATAAATTCACTAAGTTGCCTGTTTGGCAATGGAGGGCAGAGTTATCAGCAAAGTAGGCTGACCCTTCTGTGGGCAGAATGAATATTTTGCTAATGTTTAGAAGAATTCCTTTTGTAAGCATCAAAGAAGAACTTTAATAAGGATTAAGTGTCTGAGCTTCCTTAGCATTATTCTATTCCAAGACCCAAAAAGGAAAATAACCTCCCCAAATGGTAAAAACTGCTTGTATATTTAGAATTCTCTGATCAAAGACCTAATGAAAAGATTCTATAGTGTTTGCGTCATCATAAGTTAAATCTTCATCTACCACCCAACTGATACCTGCCTTTCTGTGAGTGAAATCAGAAACGGCTGTTCTTTAATAAATGCTTTCAATCTGAAAGTCAGAAAGTGATTTATGAAACACCCAGGTGAGGGGAGACTACAAGTCCCTTTGCCTTTTAGTTTTCAAGCAATACTGGTTGCAGTAACTGCTCTGATGTAATTATTGCTAACATTTACGTTTTTATTAAACTGAAAATGCTAACTGTGAATGCCAGATGCCAGATGCCAGAAGCCTTATTTTACATAATTGTCCAAACACAGACGTCTCTAGGCCAGGCGCTGTGAAGGCCCCACAACTTCACAGCTGGGATAGTTCTATGGGAGGTGTCAAAGGACTGGGTACAATCAGGTCTACATCTTCTGAAACAAACCGAAGGACATTTTCTTAAACCTGAGAGGCACTGGTCTGAGGAAGTGTCTTGGTTCTGATAGAGACTAGCTACACTGGGCAAACCTCCCCTGGCTTCACTTCCTTCTGTCTTCACTCTCCATCCCATTTGAGGACGCATATCAATATATATGAAACACGTATCAATATATAAATTCAGCATTTCTGATGTCTTTAAAATATGTTCCATTATACTCTATAATTTTTTGAGAAGGGAATTGTCTACATATGAAGAAAAAAGAGACAAAGTTCATTAGGCACTAATGAATATAAGTGAGCTTATACAGTTTCAAAAGTCTGTTATGCAAAGCATTAGTGAATCTTGGGAAAAGACAAATGACATATGTTAAATGTTTATGTGCCACACATCTAATTCTTAAAATTCCTCATCTACGCCCCACAAAAACTGAGAGGGCCGAGTGCGGTGGCTCATGCCTGTAATCTCAGGACTTTGGGAGGCTGAGGCGGGCGGATCACTTGAGGTCAGGAGTTCAAGACCAGCCTGGCCAAAATGGTGAAACCCCGTCTCTACTGAAAATACAAAAATTTGCTGGGCGTGATGGCAGGTGACTGTAATCCCAGCTACTCGGGAGGCTGAGGCAGGAGAATCACTTGAACCTGGGAGGTGAAGGTTGCAGTGAGCCAAGATCATGCCACAGCACTCTAGCCTGGGTGATAGAACGAGACTCAGTCTCAAAAAAAAAAAAAAATACTGAGAGGCAGGCACTGTTATCCCCTATTTGCATCTGAGGCTAAGAGAAGTTAAGGAACTTATCCAAGGTCAACATCTAGTAAACAGCAGGACCAAGATTTTAACTCAGAGCTACTCTAACTCCAAAGCTCCATCCATCATTTTCTCCCCACTCTTTGTTTCTTTGGAAACAGTTAAGGCTTTTTCTGTGAACCCCACATCTCTCTGAGTCTGTGGCACTTTTAAAGAACCCATTCATCAGAGAGATGCAATAAACTCTACTGATATGATTTCTAGAAAACTGACTACTAAATAAGAGTAGTTCAGAATCCCAGAAAAACTGTCTTGTGAACACTCAGGAAATTGTCACAGAATTTATTTTAATTTTCAGAATTAAAAAAATAACTATTAGGCCAGGCGCGGTGGCTCCCACCTGTAATCCCACCACTTTGGGAGGCTGAGGCAGGCGGATCACCTGAGGTTGGGAGTTCCAAACCAGCCTGACCAACATGGAGAAACCCAGTCTCTACTAAAAATACAAAAAATTAGCCGGGCATGGTGGCACATGCCTGTAATCCCAGCTACTTGGGAGGCTGAGGCAGGAGAAGCCCTTGAACCCGGGAGGCAGAGGTTGCGGTGAGCCGAGATCGCGCCATTGCACTCCAGCCTGGGCAACAAGAGCGAAACTCCGTCTCAAAAATAAATAAATATATAAATAAATAAGTTAATTAAATAACTATTAAAGTCAACATTGTAGGAGGCTGGGGGGTTTTCATATGAAAACCCCCAGAATGAAGATGAGGGGGACAGGCAGAATTCCAGTCATTTCCTTACTCTCCAAAGCTCTAACCACAGGGATGAGTCCTCTGCAAGTTCTTAGTGGTGCATGAGTTAAGAGTGTCTCCTTTTTAGTGTTCATGTCTTAGTTGAATCACCTTTGCACAGTATCTGCAATGAGCCAGGCCCCGTGCTGATCATGTTAAGTACATTTTTTATTCTCTTGAAAGCAGTCCAGGGAAGGAAAGCAACATGCCTGAGGTCACACTTAGTACACAAATCTCCCAGTTACCTTTGGAGGTAGCATTGCTACTCCAAAGTACCATCTTTCTTGCAGGAACTGCTAAACAGCCTTCCAGTTGATCTTCCTGCTTCAAAATGCTCGTGCCTTTCTGTTGTGCACATATCAGCAAGATTAATCTATTGAAAACGCAAATCACATACTAACCACCCCCTGTGTAAAAGCGTCCCATGGCTTCTTATCACCCTCTGTAAATCCCAGCCTCCTCAGCAGCTGTGGCTACCTGTCTCCCTCACCTCATCCTCCGTCGCTTCCCCTTGCTCCCCTGGCCCTTGGCACATGGCTTGCTTTCTTTCCTTAAACATACCAAGCTTACTGTACACTCTGGCTCTTGCCATTGCTGCCCACTCTGTGTGGACTTCCCACAGACCTCTGGATGGTAAGCTGTTTATCACCACCGAGGTCTCAGCCTCTTGGCTAGTACTTTTGTGAGCACGTTAGCTAAGTAGCCACCTCCCACTCCTACCACCACTCCTTCACACTTGCCTCTCACCCTGTATTATTTTCTTTACAACTTATTAGATTTTTTTCTTTGTCTCCTATCACTAGAGTAACATAACAAGAGAATAAACTTTGCTTTACTCTTTGTTGTATTCCCAGAGCTTTGAACAGTGCCTAATATGCAGTATGCATTTAATACATACTTGTTCAATGAATAAATCAAGTTAGCTTTTCAACCCAAATCTATGTAAAGACAAAGCCCAGGCTTTGACCACGAACATGCTGCAATTTTTTATTGAATTCTTAAGATGGATTCAGTCCTGGGACAGGCATACTGCCAAGTACATGGGAAAACATCTGCTTCCTCCCTTCAAGATGTTTATAAGTTAGTTGTGATGCCAGACTCATTTATTCTTGAGATAACAAATACAGTAAGTGCTGAGTGAAGGGAAATGTATCAGAGGGCACCAGAATGTAGAAGAGAGTGGTCAGTGAAGATACAGGTGGTCCTTATAGGGCCTCCTAGAGCTGAGAAACTTGATAGGAGCCTTTTGTGGTGGATGCCAGTTAGGGGGAGGGTAAGACTGTCAGGTCTTGGATGAGACTTAGAGAATCAGTGAGTTTATCCAGGAAAGAGTCATCAATGACATGTGTTTTAGGGCATTCCAGAGAGGGACATTTGCTAGATACTTTTTTCTGGAAAAAAGCCTCACTCTTTACTTACAAGTATAGTTTTATGAGAAAACGCGGGCAAGAGAAGAGGAAAGGAGGAAAGAGAAAGCAAGGCAGTGAGGTTTCTTCTTTCTCACTCTGGCCATGGTTGTGGTAGGGGCAAGATGGATCGAGACTGGCACACAGTGAGTGCCAGATAATTATTGGCCCACTTACTCTTGAAGGTCTCCTCTGTGGGACTTTCCTGGAATTCCACGCTCTCTCCAGAAATAAATGGCCAACTGTGGGACCTAGGAGGCTACCTCTTTAGGGCCAGCAGTAAGGCAAAGCTGCCATGCAGCATAATCTGCCCAAGTGATTGGACTGCACAGACCCTTGGCCATTGGAAGAGACTGCACCATCCCAGAGTTTCCCAGAGGGCCACCATCATGAGGATTGCTCCTATCATGGCTCCCAGTGAAGGATAGAGCAAGGAGACCCCTGAGAACTAAATTGCCAGCCAGTGAAGATGACTTACTATGCTCAGAATTAACATTCATCCATCCACCACCCCATCCATCCATTCAGGAAGCAAATACTCTATGCCAAGAATCTTGCAAACTGTAGGAGCTATCACAAGGGTTAGATAGTTTCCTTTCCTTGAGGAACTCATGGTCTACTCATAAAGAAAACCATATGCTGTTAGTTTCTTAACTCTACCCATGTTTCCAGGGCAGAGTTGAATAAAAGATTTATCACATACCCAGGCTTGGCCACAAAACCACACCACACGAAACCAAAACACTCCATGAAGGGAAAGACTAATTAACCTTCCCACCCCCCCACCCCTCAAGCCCTTCCCAGAGAGGTGATAATGAAAGATTTGGTCTCTACTGAGCCACAACAGGATTTGCATTTTAAAGTTTGACAGATCTTTATAGGCCTTTTGATCTCTTTTCTGCTCTCTACCTACCCACCCCAGACTTGCTGCCTCCTCCCAAACCCCCCTCAGTTCTCTACCCTGAACAAGCTATAAGCTTCAGAAATGATGGTCCCAGGTCCAGAGGCCTCTAGGATATGTGCCCTGGTGTAATGTGCTCCTAGCCATATAGCTCCTATTTATTGAATATCAGCTGTATATCAAGTACTTTTCTTCCTAACCCGCACAATCACCCTGCAAGGTTCATATTATTTACCTTTTTTTAAGTGAGGAGGAAAATGAGGCATGGAGGTTAAATAACCTGCTCCAAATCACTAATAAAAAGTAGGAGCGACAGAACTAAAACCTAGGTCTGTGCACCGCCAAACCTATAACCTTTTCATTAAGCCACACTGACTCCATTAGACAATACTGGTTATTGTAGGCTATCGTAACTAAATCCTTCTTGGAAAGGTAATCCTGCACTCCAGTTTTCTTGCAGGTGTTATTCTGGAAATAGCCCAATAAACGTCACAATTTGATTTACTCGAGGACAAACTTGCAGCTGTCTTTTCTTTTAGAGCTCTTCTTGAGCTCTGACTTTTTCCTCTCTTTCTACTCATCTTTCACACAGACTACTGCAGCCGGACAGCTGCATGTCTTGGTTTGGTACTGTCATCTGCAGCCTCCTGGGCTTTGTGGAACAGTCTCTCCAACCCAGAGAAAGCCTATTGGAAACAAACTCAGAGTCTCAGATACTTATATTTTTGCAGCTGGAGGGAACCCAGAAAGCCATCTAAAACTGAGTTTCAGAGAATGACTAGTGCAAAATAACTGGTATCAGATTTACTAAAATACTGCAGCTTTGCTATGTTAAAGTAAAAGAAGGAAACAAGTCACATTAACAAATATTTCAATGTGCCGGGTGCTTTATCTCATTTAATCTTCACTACAACCCAGTGAGGTAAAATTAGTTACTATCCTTGTGCTCCAGATGAGCCCTGACTCAGAGACATAACTGACTCTACAGTGATAGCTGGCAAGACCAGGACCTCAGGTAACCGCAGAGAGCACAGACCCTCTTCCACACCGTGCGGTGGGCATGAAAAGGCGCACAACCAATATGCTGGCTGGTGACTGACTGGCCTGTGAAATTTGCTCCTGCACAGAAGAGCAAATCATTTTGCACTCTTAGTGAGGCCATGCCTGTAACCTAAATTCATCTGGCATTCACAGCCTGAGTCATACATACTTTGACCAAGAGGGCCCCTGAAAAATGGGGGCTACAGCCTCTGACTACAGCCTCTCCTAAAACATTCTGAGTGTGTGTTACCAGTTAGAAGATTCTGCAAGTTTCTTTCCTCCTTGGAAAGTCCATCCCCCACCCTCAAAGAGGGGGCATTAGAAGTGCCAAATTGGGAGCCATAAGAAAGCCGCTGCTGGCTGCTGAGTTGTCCTGTCGAGGTTGAGAGATCAGGTTCAAAGCTCCAGCCGCAGTCTCCCCGCCCCCACTCCCCACCCCACCTCTTGTCCAGAGAAGGAATGGTCCTTCCCACCCCCCACCATCATTTCTTGTAAAAACTTCTGGATTGTGCTCAGCTGGGGGTCATACAGGGAGCTCAAGGCATCCTTTCTGCTCTCTCCAGATCGACCCCAACCTCAGAGAGGAAGCTCTTGGGAAAGTTTCTCTCTAGGAAGAATGGCTACGGATGCAGAAATCTTCCCTCCTTAGCACCCAGCATAGATTTTGGTGTGGATTGGGCTGCTCCTAAGAAAGCTGTTTTCTCAGTGATTCTCTGTCAACCATGCAGCTGGGGTTCCAGCATTCAGAACAACAGGGGTGGGAGGTAATGCTGGGCCTGTGGCTTCAAATCTTACCCAGCAAGCCCTGGCCAATTGTTCTTTATGGTACAACTCACAATCCATTTCTATTATAGCATTTTTCTTGACTGTCTGTCCATACTAACCTCATTCTTCTCTGAAAGGATACATACCCACATATAACTATTGTGAGACCAGACTGTTCCCGAATGGCATTTGAGTTGTGCCTTGGGGGACACCTTGACCTCCTACCTAAGGAAATTTTTCTGCATCCTGATATTCCCCATTCTGGAGCATATAGTTTACTTGCTAATGACAGTTACTAAAGATGCTTACCTGACATAATTTTGCTAGCATGCCAATTGGGGAGCAAGCACTCCTATTAGGAAGCACTCATCTTCATTATTAATCCCTTCTGTAGCTCAGCCTTTTTAGATCTAGATCTCTAAATCTTCCCATATCTATAGATCCTATATCTATAGAACTATATATCCTAGACCTATAGATCTAGACCTGTATCTCCATATCTTCTCACCAGTAAAATTTATGTGGGCACATACACCATTTTTGTTGCATGCCTGAAGCTCATTCCTGGTCTCTCTCACGCTGACTTCTCTTCTAGACAGTGAGCTCCCTGGCACAGGGACCTTGTCTGGTTCCCTGTGTGCCTCCAGCACATAATGGGGTTTCTGCTCCTGCGAAGAAGCTAGGTACCCTCTGCCGCAGTAAGAATGGCACTGAGTGATTGCACAACTCAAATTGAGCTCCAAGGCTGCACACAGGGCAGAAATGAGAGAGGGTAGGACGATGAGTTTGACCAGCATTGAAAAGGGAAACACCTTGGGAAGGAACAGCCTGTACTGGATCAGGTGCCAGGTAAGTAATCCCGGGGATCATAAACCTCTAAAGCAACTGCTCTCAAATGTAGCCTTCCTAGAACTCATCTGAAGACTCTGTTATAAAAACAAATTACTGGGTTCCACCCCACTGGATTCGGATTCAATGGTCTTTGGACCACACTTACAGAAACTCTGCTGTAGATGGGAGAGAGATGTAGAGAGCCGCAGAAGAAAAGGAGAAGAAAATAATGGTGTTTTTTGAGTATAGACTCACTCACCACACGCAGTCAGGATAACAAACTCTCTCCCCGTCTGTCCCCCTCTCTGTCATTCTTTCTTCCTCCTTTTAATACTGTAGTTATAAAAAGCTTTTGAAAGTATAAAAAGCTTTTGATCACTGTCCAGAGTGATCAAATATTCGCCCATGGCGAATTTTTTCTTTCACTTTTTTTTTTTTTTTTTTTTTTGGAGGTGGGGAATCAGTACTCCTGGCAGAGGCCTGTCACTTTGTATGCAGGAAGGGCCATTTAACAAGTAACTTAGGTGGTAACTGAGGAAACTACAAGCCTACAAAGTCCTTCTTGTTCTGCCTCCACAGGGGAAATGGCTGACCCACCTAGGAGCCCACGGCATGAGCTGTTTTTTCCCAAGCTCTGCATTTCAGGTGCTTCCTGCTCAGTGCTTCTCCTCAAAGAACATACAAGGACAGGAGGTACCATGGCTACCTGCAGCTGTGGATTATGGAAAGCCCACTGAGGCTGGCCTCTCAAGGCCCAAAGATGACCATTTGCACCCAGCATTTCCAAACACAGTTTCCCAGACTGGGATCAAATGAGCTATAAGACAATTGCTTGAAGAACTCTGGACGAGGATGTCTGGGCCTCACCCCAGTGACTCTTGGCTCATGAGATCTGAGACAAACGCAGGAATCTATACCAGGTAATGATGGGCAATTGGATTTGGAAACCAAATCCAATTGGAGGACAATAGCATCACAGAATCTGTTTGGGTCCTCCAGCCGGCTGAGGTCAAAATCCCCATCCTACATCCGGGTAAAAGGCCTCCAGGCCTTTTTCCTACAATCCTATATGTCAAGACCCAGTTCTGATGCCATTTTTTCCAGGAAATTTTTCAGGGTCTCCCATGTGAAATTATTTCTCCTTTCTTTCTCCTCCCACAGCATATTTTCAGTGTCTTTATAATACTTTATAGCATCACCCCTCTCCTCATATAACATTTATCCACCACCATTGTGGAATAGAAATATAATGCCAACTGATTCCTCAAGGATCTAGAACTAGAAATACCATTTGACCCAGCCATCCCATTACTGAGTATATACCCAAAGGATTATAAATCATGCTGCTATAAAGACACATGCACACGTATGTTTATTGTGGCACTATTCACAATAGCAAAGACTTGGAACCAACCCAAATGTCCATCAATGATAGACTGGATTAAGAAAATGTGGCACATGTACACCATGGAATACTATGCAGCCATTTAACAAAAAAAGGATGAGTTCATGTCCTTTGTAGGGACATGGATGAAGCTGGAAACCATCATTCTCAGCAAACTATCGCAAGGACAAAAAACCAAACACTGCATGTTCTCACTCATAGGTGGGAATTGAACAGTGAGAACACTTGGACACAGGAAGGGGAACATCACACACCGGGGCCTGTCGTGGGGTGGGGGAAAGGGGGAGGGATAGCATTAGGAGATATACCTAATGTAAATCATGAGTTAATGGGTGCAGCACACCAACATGGCACGTGTATACATATGTAACAAACCTGCACGTTGTGCACATGTACCCTAGAACTTAAAGTATAATAAAAAAAGAAATATAATGCCAACCATATATCTTTACTTTTCTGTTAGCCACACTTTAAAAAAAAAATAAACAGGTGAAATTAATTTCATACTATATTCGATTTAACACGATATTTCAAAATGTTATTTCAACATGTAATCAATACAAAAATCATGAGTGAGATATTTTATGTTTTTGTTTTGTTGTCTTTATTTCTTTTGAAATTTTTTTTCTTTTTATGTAGTTTTAAAATCTTTTTATGATATTTTACATTTTTTATTTCTACTAAGTTTTTGAGATCTAGTGTGTATTATACACTCGCATCACATCTCAGCCTTGAGACTTCATTTCACATGTTAAATCACCACACGTGGCCAGTGGATGCCATGTGGAAGAGCACAGTACTGGCTTTTGAGGTCATGTCTGTGACTTGGCTCTGGGTCCTCAGACTGAGCACAGTCCCTTCCAAAGAGTCTCCATTGGTGTTTTCGTTTGGCTAGCTATTTTAAAGCTCAGGATCTTAGGATATAAAAGTAGGGAAGAGATACATCAGTTTTAAGGAGGGTGAAGCTGTCTGGGCATGGTGGCTCATGCCTGTAATCCCAGCACTTTGGGAGGCTGAGGAGGATGGATCACCTGAGGTCAGGAGTTCGAGACCAGCCTGGCCAACATGGTGAAAGCCTGTCTCTATTAAAAATACAAAAATTAGCCGGGCGGTGGTGGCACATGCCTGTAGTCCCAACTACTCAGGAGGCTGAGACACAAGAACTGCTTGAACCTGGGAGACGGAGGTTGCAGTGAGCCGAGACCATGCCACTGCACTACAGCCTGGGTGATAGAGCGAGACTCTGTCTCAAAATAATAATAATAAAAAAATGGAGGGCAAAGCCATCCAGAGCAGGCTTCCTATGAGAGGAGTTGAGTGGGAAGATGTTCAGCACAGGACACTGCGGGGAGCAGAAAATGCCAATCAGGCCAAAGAGGCAGGTGCCTGCTACCTCCTTCATCCTGCATGGCAGGACTGGATGCTGTAGGCACAGGTAATGGTGGCTCTGAGCCACATGTTCTGCCTGCTTTATGCAGGTTGCCTTGAGCCACCTGGAGAATACTGGCTGCCAAAGGATTTGATTACGATGTAATGTGATCACTTAAATCTCTAAAAAACAGCTGCAGCCAGAATGTATTTTCAGCAAAGATGTCTTCTGAAAACAAGTTGTGCCATTTCACACTCTGGCCGAGGGTTCCCAGGAGAGTTCATTGATTAGCTTACCTCATCATTCAACCATAATTGGTTCAATTAGGAAAAAGGACGATCACTTTCGCCAACACAGAATTGCCTCCAAGATAGTGCCCACAGATGTAAGTTTCTCTGAGGTAGCTTTTCGGGAAACAGACATCTCCTGAGAAAACCTGAGTTTCAGCCCTGTTTCCTAGATCCTCTGAGGTCAAATAATCAGCATACAGAGCTGCAAGGACTAGAGTTTGGAACCCCCCAAGCTGGTTGTCACCAGCAGTGTAATGCTTTCCACCTCAACACCTAAGGAGGACCAAACCCTGGGTTGGACCATATCCATTCCCAGATGAAGCCCCAGGATATGGTGGCAGGAGCCCAGCCTTTGCAGAGGAACACTCTGTTTCCCAAATGCCAGCCCACCAATTCATTTGAAACGTTCATTATGCTACAACTCTTAACTTGGTTTATGCATGGCATTGTAGCAACCAGTTAAGGCATTTGGACCACCAGCGTGTGACCTGCAGCAAGTTATCTTACCTCTTTAAGCCTCAGGTTCTTCCACTGTAAAACATGGGTAACGTCAGTCCCTACCTCCTCGTGCTGTCCATTAAGCTGTGAGATAAAGTACTAATCAAAATGCATGGAAAGTACTCCACGTAACTTCGTAACTATTTCATAACTATAAGTTCATATCATAAAACAGGATAATTTAAATCAGAAAAGTGAGTTTAAAAAAGTAGAGAAAGAAAGATTCTCAAGCAAGTGGGTGCTGAATACACACACATACAGAGCCAGTGCTGGGCAGCTGAGGGTGATCAGCAGAAGGGCAGGTCCTCCTTCCTGTCCCTGCTTCTAGTCTAATTGAGGGGACTTTCCCATAGGAGGAAATCCTGTGTTGGGCTGTGCAGCACCAACTCTAAGCACAACAGAGGCCATCAAGACCACGAAGTGGTGACTGCTGGGAGTCAGAGTAGATCAGAAAAAACAATTAGGATTTGGAAAGGCAGTAGGATGGCACCACTCACCCTAGGCAGAAAACATACACCAGCCGAGACACCACAATGGGATGAGCAGCCTGTCTTCCAAGGAGGTGGAGAAGGCAAAGTCCAGACTGGAGGAAAGGGAAAGGTGGAGAAGGACCAGGAAGCTTTAGTGACAAGATGAATAACAAACATATCAATGAGAAAACAGGCCAAGGAGTCATCAGCAGGCACAGTCCCTACAGCATGAGAACAAAATGCTAAGCTCCATGAGGTACGTATTGTAGGGAAGGGAGGAGAGGAGAAGGGAGGGGAGGGGAGTGAGGGCATTGTCTCTGATCCTTTCGTCTGTCCTTAGCACAGACACTGCTAGTGTTGCCCAGCTCTGCCAGGAATACGCTTCTGGAGAGCCTATCACAAATGCTCTCACAAATTATTGAAAGGGCCGTGTAGCCCCCCAAAAGTCTTCATTTTTGAGAATGCCCTGGAAAGGCGAGTTGAGACACTTACCTTCTCTCTGCTTGGCTTTCTTACTTGTACCCACCAAGCCTAGCCTTCCTATAAGAAATCATTAGATTTTATCTTTAGAACATTTTGAGCTATGAGAAGAAAGAACATCGTGTCCATACATACAGGCACAGTCATTATCACAGGATTCCGTTTTCTCTGTTCTGTTTGAATCCATCTCCTGGCAACAGCTGTCCAGCTCCCTAAAGCCAGCAGCAGCTGCAATAATGAGCCAACCATTTATCTGAGTGTGTGGATGACAGTCACAGCTCCACGTGCAGCTGTTCTTTAAAGTCCACTGTCTTGTCCCTCCCTCGGGTCTAGACAACAAAGACAGCCATTCATTAAACTCCTCTGTTTCGAGTTTTAGGGAACCCCCTATGCCTTTTACCAGTGGTACGGTCTTTTAATGCTGCCACTTGCTGGTAGTTTTACCATAAGCAAGCACAAAAAACCTCCCTCTTTGAACTTTGGTTTTCTGAACTCTCCAGAGATAACAACCATTACCCACCTCATGAGACTGTTGTGATGCTCCAAAGATGTAATCGATATGATAATCTTTTACAAACTATATGACAGCATTCTTGTACTATTAATTATTAAGGTCCTTGTTTCTATGTTTAAAGTGAAAAAATTGCTAGAAAATATAGGACACTACAGTAAGCTTCTGTGGGCATCCAGATAATTGGTCACTGAGAACTGGAGGAGGCAGAGTGTTTCTGGAGAAAACAGTTGGCCCTGGCTTAGCGGGAGTGGTAGAATCTGAGAGGTCAAGGGAGAGGAAGGGACAGTTGAGTGAGGGACACAAGCCAGGCAAAGGCCAAGAAAAGAAAATGTGGTATATGGACAGTGTAGCATTATCCTGGAATCAGGCAGAGAATGGGCCTGGGGACCAGGAAGACATAAAGTTGGAAGAGTTGGGATAGGCCAGACCAGAAATAGTCTTAAATGGCAGGCAGAGAATTTATCAGGAGAGATTTTAGTAGTATGAAAAGTCAAGGAGTTATAAAAGTGTAACAATCACCTGGTCCTGCTCCCTGTATCTGTGGTTTTATCTCTGTTTAACAATCTAGACAAAGTGGCCAGCCCTGGGGGTGCTGTTGGCATCCTGCCACCCAGCTCAGTGCTCTTGTATCCTGGGAGGCCTTTGTTCTGTCCAAGTCATCAGTTCTTCACTAGAGACTATTAAAACTGCTGTTGCAAAATTATTACAGTGAAAGAGATCTGACCTAACCAACTCAACTCCATCTTGCTTCTAATCTCCAAGCTGTCCTTGTTCATTCCTGGACATAGGCCAAACTAACTTTGGGAGGAACTTAGTTTATAGTTTAACTTTGAAACAAAGACAATACTACTCCTTTCCTGAAACAAATCCCTTTCTTGACTGGGGACTAGACTGCCTTTGTAGGACCAAAAAGTTAGCCAAAAGATTCGAAATTATGGTTTAGGAGTCATGCAGCTGGAGGCTACAAGTTTCCGACCCTCCCCAAATTGGTCCCGAGAATAATATCGCTATTGTAAGACCTAAAATTAGTACTTGAGATATTTTGTAGACCCTGCACTTGATGGATCAGCTGGCACCACCCAGATTGATAAACTGGCTCATCTGATCTGTGGCCCCTACCCAGGAACTGACTGAGCGCAAGAGGACAGCTTCGACTCTCTCTGACTTCATCTCCCACCCAACCGATCAGTACTCCTGACTCACTGGCCCCTACCCACCAAATTATCCGTAACAACTCTGATCCCTGAATTCTGAGGAGACTGATTTGAGTGATAATAAAACTCTGGTCTCCCGCACTGCTGGTTCTGTGTGCATTACTCTTTCTCTATTGCAATTCCCCTGTCTTGATAAATGGGCTCTGTCTAGGCAGTGGGCAAGGTGAACCCTTGGGTGGTTACACTACCAGGCCCCAGCTCTGACTTTACCAAGTCAGAATCTCCAGGAGAGGAGCCTAGGAATCCTCTTTTTTTTTTTTTTGAGATGGAGTCTCGCTCTGTCTCCCAGGCTGGAGTGCAGTGGCAATATCTCGGCTCACTGCAACCTCCGCCTCTTGGGTTCAAGCAATTCTCTGCCTCAGCCTCCCGAGTAGCTGGGATTATAGGCACCCGCCACCCCACCTGGCTATTTTTTTTATTTTTAGTAGAAACGGGATTTCACCATCTTGCCTAGGGTGGTCTTGAACTCCTGACCTCGTGATCCACACGCCTCGGCCTCCCAAAGTGCTGGAATTACAGCCATGAGCCACTGCACCCGGCGGAACCGTCTTTTTAAAAATATGCTTTCCCTCTCCCCAGGTGATTCTTGATAGCAGGGAAGTGTGGGAATGCTGTGAATGTGAACTCTATGATTCCCTACAGCGAGAGGCTTATCCGTGGGCTTCATACCTGCTGGAGATGGAGGGTAACCACTCAGTCCACAAGGGGCTGAGCATAGTTCTTCAACTGCTCAGTAGCTACACTTCTGGGATGGAAAAGACTGGAACTTTTTTTCATGAAACAACATTTCCTCTCTTTCATCTTTCTTGTTGTCCTCCTCTGAGTCTCTTCTCCACTTCTTTCTACTCTTTGCAAATGAAACACGGAACTCCAACAAGGTCTCAGCAAACCTTATATCCTACCTGTCAATGTCCCAGTCATCTTTACAGGAGCACTTCCACCTGAAGCTCCTCCCTCCCTCCCTTCCTTCCTGCCTGCTTTTTTTTTTTTTTTAAATATTTAAATAAGTGTACTACCCATATGCTTTGATTCAACTTGAGAGCGCCTGTGATTCCTGAATCTTTTTCATTTGCACATGGACCTAATCAGGCCAGCCTTGACCATTCACTGGTTTTGAAATTCTAATTTTTAAATCAGTAATCTTTTTTAATTTAGAAAATACTGACAACTGTCAAGACGATAGCAACAATTGAGTACTGACAATGTCTGAGGGCAGTAGTATGACATTTCTTTATGTATATTGATCTTTACAACAATCTTGTAAAGTAGCTGTTGTTATTATCCCTTTATTTCAAGTAGAGGAACTGAGACATTAAGAAATGAAGTTACCTGCTTATAATCACTTAGTTAAGTAAGCAGAGAAGTCAAGGTTGGAGCCTAGGAACTCTGGCTCCTAACCACTAGAAGAAAGTAAGATGAATGAAGAAAAAAATACTCTCAATTCCTGTTACCAGAAGTAACCACTCTTAACACTTAGTCATATTTCTATGAGAAAGAATTTTCAATTGGATCAAAGTATTAATTTTATATGTCCTACTTAAAAGCCTTAATATTAAATTAAGCTTTGTATATTAAATGTTATTCATAATGATTTCTTTATCAACTATATAATATTTCATCATATGAATAGGAAATAATGTATGCAATTACCTCTTTGCTATTAGATATTTGTTTCTAATTTTTTACTGTAAGACTATGGCGAATATTTTTTATCCTAAATATTTGACTGTAACTTTGTTTAGTTGTATAAAGTCCTTGTGTCAAAAGTACTTTTGAATCTAAGATGAATTTTGGACTTTAAGTTACTTTAAAAATTGAACCAACTGACTCTCCCACAAGCAATGTGTGGGAAGGACCACTTCCTCATCCTCTTGCCAACTTTGCCAATTTGGGAGGTGAAAAACGGCCTTGCCTTGTCATTTCCATTTACATGTCTTTGATTACTACCGAGGTGAACATTTTCTTCTATGTTTATGAGCCACTTGTATTTCTTTTTCTGTGAGCTGTTTATTTATGCCCTTGTTCATTTTCCCAGTGGCAAGCTTGTATTTTTCTTATCTGTGTGAGTTCTTCATAGCAATAATGTTTTACCTGTCATGTTTGACTATCCCGTATCAAAAAACTGAAAAATATTTCCCCCAATTTCTTCTTTGCCTTATATCTGCTTTTTAGGTGTCAGTTAACTGGCAAGTATGGAAATCTGAATTGAAAACACTCAAAAGCAAAGGCTAAAGTTTGTGAAAATAAGCAGGTTCATTATGCAGACAACCATTTTTAGTATTCACTTTAATAACAGGACTTTTGTCATCACTGAAGAAAAATGAAGAAGTAATGTTGCACTTTTCTTCTTCTCAGGCTGGTAAGAACAGGGGAGAATCCTTGGAGAACAAACTCCGTGCAAATTGCTTTCAACTTTTTGACATGGGTATTAAAATGCCACCCCAAATACCAGTGGTAATAAAGAATCCAACTTAAAAGGGGGAGTAGGTGTAAATGTAACACATGAGATTTCATTTAAATCTTGCTGGCCAGTTGCTGAAGAATCCATGGAGAAGCACTCAAGGCTGCTACCCCTCCCGAGTTGGTGACAGAAAACTTGGCTATTTGGGGATAAATGTTGACATTCTGAGATTGCCGAATCAAGACAAGCTGCTCATATTTCCTTGCAATAAGAATAATCACAGCATCCTGCCCTGATGCTCTCCAGGGAGAATGAGCTTCTGTTCCTCTTTTTATTACCCTCTTCCTCTTCTCTTATGTTTCTTCACCCACACTTTGCAGTCCCCTCTCTGCCACCCTCCTATCTTCTGCATAACTGCCCATTGTGGGTGGACATGGTGACTGCATTTTGTTCCCAAATTAACATATTTAGTAATATTTTCAAAAGAGAAAGAGGTTTATATTCAGGTGCCAGGGACCCCGCAGGGACATGGCTGCCCCCAAATGGATTCTTTTTAGAGTAAACCACGCTGCCTTGGCTTCTGTGCACATTCATTTGGCAAAGAAAATTCACAAGGCATTTGACTGTGGAGCGAGCTGATGAGACAGGGTCCTGAGCCCAGACAGTGGAAGTGCTTGAGAAAGGGAGCATCCCAGGTGTTTGGGAGGGAGAATGCTGCTTTTCCTCATGACCACCTAGTGAAGGGGATGAAGAAAAACAAAACTTCTGGTCAGGCTGGAGAAGTCCACAAGACTCTGTTCTAAAGGATTTCTACAGTTTAGAACTCTTCTGTTTCTCACTTCTCCTGTGAATTAAGTTTAATTATTTTGTTGCCGTTTATTTGTCTGTTGCTTTGTCCTGCCCAAGGGTTAAATACCCAGCCTGTGAAAATCATCTGTTCACACATTGCATGATGCTCTACAATTTATTATTAAATGGATCAAAACCAAAATGTTACTCTTTGGCTTTACAATGAGCCATAAAGTCAAATCACGAGGCCCAACTACTTTTATTATTTCCTTAGCATAATGGCAGTCACATGAAAGTCACAGTCCCAAGAGCCTCACACAGGCTTTGCTGAAACTGTCACAGGCTTGACAGCACAGCAGCTCCAGGCCGCTATCCATGCAGGAGAGCACCACTTTCAGTTCTCTTTGCTAACTCAAGGACACAGGAAAATGTCACATTTCACTTAGTTGTTTTCTTCACACATACACACACACCTATATTCCCTTTGCCCCACAAGAATTATCTATTTTCTGGTGAATGTTAGCTGAGTGCCAAGACTGTGTGGCAGTGTGAAAGGGCCCAGGTTTTTAACTTTTTTTTTTTTTTTTTTTTTTTTGAGACAGAGTCTCACTCTGTTGCCCAGGCAGAGTGCAGTGGCATGATCTCGGCTTACTGCATCCTCCGCCTCCCATGTTAAAGAGATTCTCCTGCCTCGGCCTCCCAAGTAGCTGAGATTACAGGCGCTGGCCACTACACCCTGGCTAATTTTTGCATTTTTAGTAGAGACGGAATTTCACCATCTTGGCCAGGCTGGTCTTGAGCTCCTGACCTTCAGTGGTCCACGCATCTCGGCCTCCCAAAGTGCTGGGATCACAGGCATGAGCCACCACTCCTGGCCCAACTTATGTCTAACTGTACACACACAGGCTCTGTCCCATGACTGGAAGGCCAGG
Source organism: Homo sapiens (assembly GCF_000001405.40). Classification (NCBI taxonomy): domain Eukaryota; kingdom Metazoa; phylum Chordata; class Mammalia; order Primates; family Hominidae; genus Homo; species Homo sapiens. The sequence continues at coordinate 17,805,942 of NC_000002.12, forward strand.
GCTGGGCTGGCCAGTGGAGTTCTGTATGGCTGTGGCTATAAGAAGGTACTATGGAGTGTACAAAAGTCAGGGGAGTGTGTAGAGCTCAGGGTGGGCAGGAGCCCCCACAGCAAAATACAGCTACTGAAATCAGGGTGCACAGAGCCAGCAGGGTCTGAGTGTCTCAGAGACAAGCAGTGAGGGCAGGGATGGGCGAGAGTACTGCAGCTGGCTCTCGGTGTGGCAGCTGCAGAGCCGATGGGTGTGGCTATGGTTTGGAAAGAAGCTGTGTCCCATGACCTTGGGCAAGGTCCTTAGCATCTGAGCTTTGCTTCTTCCCTTGTAAGATGATGATAATGCCTACCTAACTGGACTGTATGGAGGATGACATGAGTGAATGTATGCAAGGCCCTTATTTTTAGCTCCTAGCATAGAGTACGTGCTGTAAGTACTCAAAAAATGGAAAGTGTATTACTGTTATCAATATTAATATACAAAAGGATTTTATTTTTAAAAGAATGTTCTATATAAAGTGTTTAATTCTAGGAAAATATAATTAAATATCACCTTTACCTGCTGCTTGATAATAATAATAATGTGGCCTAAGGCCAGGGAAAGCACTAGAAGTGGTAGGGAATGACAGCTGCCTTCTATTCTGGAACTGCAAACCCAAAGATGTAAAGCAACTACAAACCTCACAATGAGGGGTCCTTCCAAAATCCTCGTTCACCTATCTCCTCTCTCGGAACATAACATCACTCGCTGAAGTCTTGTGATCCTGGGGTCAGACTGCCTAGGTCTAAATTGTGCTCTTCCACTTACAAATCTGGTCACTTGGGGTAACTTTTTTTTTTTAACTTCTATAAGCCTCAGTTTTTTCTTATTTAAGGTGGGAACAGAAGGCTGGGTATGGTGGTTCACACCTGTAATCCCGACACTTTGGGAGGCTGAGGTGGGTGGATCACTTGAGCTCATCAGTTTGAGACCAGCCTGGGCAACATGGTGAAACCTCATCTCTACAAAAAAAAAAAAAAAAGAAAAAGAAAAAAAATTAGCTGGGCATGGGGTCACATGCCTGTAGTTTCAGCTACTTGGGAGGTTGAGGTGGGAGGATGGCTTGACCCCAGGAGGTGGAGGTTGCAGTGAGCCGAGATCGTGCCACTGCACTCCAACCTGGGCAATAGAACCAGACCTTGTCTCAAAAAGAAAAAAAAATGAATAAAGAAAAGGAAAAAAAAAGTAAGATAGGAAAAGAAATAATATTTTTATAAGATTTAAATGGAGCACTTAGTAGCACTTAGTAGTAGAGACATTTATTATTATTATTGCTATCATAGCTGAGATAACTGTGGGGATGGCCAAGGAAGGCGGTGCCTCTAAAGATTACACTATTTCTCAGAAACAGCTTCATACATACAGCTTCACTGGAGAACCAATAGAACACTCAAACACCTTCCCCCAACACACACGAGCACACACAAACACAAATACACACACGGCACTCCTTCAAAACTATAAGAGTCAGGCCTGTTCGCTAACCAGGGCAATAAGTAGTTATGTGGACGCCTGTCATGTCCAACCAACCATCTAATTTAGGAATGATGATAGAAGTCTAAACCTACTTAATCTTTTTAGTACCTATAGGACCCAGGACTCTGGCTAATCTCAGGTGCTCTGTACACACTGGATACATGACTGAATGGGGCCAAGGAATCAATCAATCAATCTTTTAGGATTTACCAAGTCTCAGGTCAAGCCTGAGTTCCAGCTTCAACAGCTTTGCAGGGCCCATCGTGCAGATGCCTCCAACTGGTGGGTAAAAGCCTAGGCTCCAGTCAGCCTGCCTAGGCTCTCATCCTGGGGCCTTGGGCAAGTTACTTAACTCCTCTGTGCCTCAATTTCTTATCAGTAAAACAGGATTGGTGATGATAATAGCACCTACCCCTTAGGGTTGTTGTGAGGATGAATGTGGGTTCATCTGTGCTAAGCACCTGGAATATTACTGGTGCACTCTGCCTCTAGTCGTGCTCCACGGGTGATGATTAATTTTATGTGCCAACTTGCCTGGGCCACAGGATGCCCAAGTAGCTGGTTCTACATTATTTCCAGGTGTGTTTGCAAGGGTATTTTCAGGAGAGATTAGCATGTGAACTGGTAGACTGTGTAAAGTAGATACTGTGGGTGGGCATCATCCCCTCAGGGCTTGAAAAGAACAAGAAGACTGAGGAAAGTTGAGTGGTCTCTCTGCCTGACTCCTTAAGCTGGGACATCAATCTCCTGTCCTCAGTGGTTTTCAGTGCTCCTAGTTCTCCGGCCTTCAGATCTTGACTGGAATCTACACCATCTGTTGCCTCTCTGGCTCTCAGGCCTTTGAACAATACCACAGACTTTCCTGGGTATACAGCTTGCAGACAGCAGACTGTGGGACTTCACCTCTATTCATCCATCCATCCATCCATCCATCCATCCATCCATCCATCCATCCTATTGGTTCTGTTTCCCTGTGAACCCTGGAGAACCAATAGAACACTCAAACACCTTCCCCACAAACAAGCAGAGTGAGGCTCCAGTGCACTGCTGACCAAATCTCACCCTTGCGAACTCCCACCAGAAGCTCCTTGTCATCTCCAAGATAAAGTCCAAGTGTCTTATCATTGCAGACGAGGCTCTGCTTTTCAGCTTTACCTCCAATGTCTGCTCTTTGCCTTCACTTGACCTTGTGGAACATGGAACAGCTCTCAATTTCTTGCACAAATCGTGCATGCTCTATCAAGCCTTCAAGTAATGCCTAGAATGTTCTCTCCACCTTTCACCTAGAAAAAAAAAAAGCCCTGCTTTTTAAGGAGCATCTTTAAGAACAAATAGGAGTGTTAATTTAAAAACAGGTCTATAACAACCTGTAATACCAACACTTTGGGAGGCTGAGGCAAGAGAATTGCTTGAGCCAAGGAGTTCAAGATCAGCCTGGGCAACATGGCAAAACTCCATCCCTACAAAAAATACAAAAGTTAGCCAGGCATGGTGGTGTGCACCTGTAGTCCCAGCTATAAGGAGGCTGAGGTGGGAAAATCACTTGAGCCCAGGAGGTTGAGGCTGCAGTGACTCGTGATCACGCCACTGCATGCCACTGCACTGCACTCTAGCCTGGGTGACAGAACGAGACTCTGTCTCAAAACAAACAAACAAACAAACAAGCCTGTAGGAGTCATGTCTTTCAGAAAGCCTTCCAGATTTACTTTTGTGGCCTTCCACTGAGTGCCTGGTTTGTATGTTAAATATTTGTAAGATTTGACCCAGGTTTTGTCTGCCCCCAAGGTTGTCCTCTTGTCACCAATATCACTTTTTATCCATCCACCAATGTCTGGACAACAAGTGAAGTACTAAAGTGCTAACATTGTAAAAGAGACAAGTTAGTTACAGAGGGCTCCCAAGGCTGTCACATACAGTTGTGCAGATTGTGCCCTATGGTTAAATTTATCAAAGCATTTTTGACATTGTTTCATAAGTAGTTTATTTCTCTATTACCACCTTCAATACCCTGAGCAACTTGAAGACAAACGCTTTTTAATTTGACTTTCTGTCCTCAGCACCCAGTACAGTATTTGGCACCCAGCATGCGCCAAGTAAAAGCCCAAAGACCAAAGGACTAGTCATCTTCTGAGCTCCTGGCACCATGCTAAGAGATAGAAAAGCCATCATCTATATCTTTAAAGACGTTTCAATGTAGCTGATGGGAATAAGTCATATCCATGTGAACAGAGAACCAGAATATCAGGTGGTAAATATTAATGGCAAATGAATGGTGCCAAATCTAAGTGCTACTGATCAGAAAAGTGGGAAATTCCAAGGGCTGAGGCAGGCAGGGAAAGCTTCATGGAAGAGGCAAGATTGGAACCAAGCCTTGCATCTTGTACCTATTCCCAGTGATTACATTACATGTATGAAGCTGTTTTTGGGAAATAGTGTAGTAGAGTAGAATTTGAAATTATAATTATGTAGTACGGGGGGATTTGGAATTCACACAGACTTAGATCGCATTCTACTTTTCCCATCCTCTTGCTGTGTCTGCTGGGTCTCTTTCTGAACACAAATTTCTTCATCTTTAGGTTGTGGATTAGAACCTCTATCTTTCAAAATTGCTGCGAAAATTAAGATTAACTAATGAACCTGAAAGAGAAAAGTCTGGTTCTCAGCACATGGCAGGAATGCAATAAAGGTTCACCCTCATTTTAATTAGACTCCAGGGTTAGATTTCTTAGTTTATTGACCAAATTCTTATCTATGGAAGGCTTTTCTGAAGCATTATTAGGAGTTGGAATTCACTGGAGTCCTCCCTCTGACTCGAACAAATGGCCCATACAAACTACCTCATGTAGAACAGGGATCCAGGAGATCACAAGAGAAATAGACCCTCAACCTTGATGCTTCTCAAAGGTCTGAGACGGTCCTATTTCTCATGAGACAGGCTTTTAAAGGAGCATGAACCACCTTCCATGCTGATTTACCTGGTGTCATGTATCATGGCAAATGGCTGGGTTTGGAGCAGATAATTGCATTGGTGAAAGTATTTTTGTTAATCTTGGTAATATCAAAACATATCCCTATACTCTTTCATACTTTCCAAAGTCAAGTCTCAATTTTTTAATTTTTAAAAATGTCATAGCAACACAATATATAAGATTCCTAATTTTCACACAAGGAAACTGAGGTCCGCAAAGGTTGAATGACTCACTCAAATTTCCATAGTAAAGTAGAGGATTTGGGTGCCTTGAGTGACAGTTCCACATTTCTAGACTGAATTCCAAGTTCTCTTTGGCAGTGGTGTACCAAGGATGGGGGTGTTGGTGGGAGTGGGCTTCCCTAAAGAGGAGTCATTTTATTATTGTCATTGTTTAGAATTGCCACTACATGGTTATAATAAGATAAAGACCAACTTTTAGCCAAGCATTATCACTGTTTTAAAATTATATGTAGACAATACCTCCCTTTATTGCCTACACCAGAGGCTGAAGGTTCTCACCACCCATCCAGGGTACGCCACTACTCTGGTTCCATTAAAAAAGAAAGATTACATTTGAATGGAGGGATTTTGGTTTCTAAGCAGGGGGGACTTGAGGCCAAGAGAAAGTGGGAGTGATATATTTGTGGCTACTTGTATTGTGGCTCTAACTTCTCTTGACTCAAGGAACCAAGAATGTACCCAGCACAAGATTTTTGTTTGTTTGTTTTTTTGAGATGGAGTCTTGCTCTGTCACCAGGCTGGAGTACAGTGGCACGATCTCGGCTCACTGCAATCTCCGCCTCCCAGGTTCAAGTGATTCTCCTGCCTCAGCCTCCCAAGTAGCTGGGATTACAGGCACATGCCACCACACCGAGCTAATTTTGTATTTTTAGTAGAGACGGGGTTTCACCATGTTGGCCAGGATGCTCTCGATCTCCTGACCTCGTGATCCACCCACCTTGGCCTCCCAAAGTGCTGGGATTACAAGCATGAGCTACAGCACCCTGCCCCAGCACAAGATTAATAATTACAGCAACATTAGTTACCACACTTACAGTTTACAATGTGTAAACCTGCTAAAAGCGTGTACTCTATAAGGCAAGTATTAGTATTTCAATTGCACAGATGAAGATGAAGCTGAAGCTGAGAAAGATTGATTCATGTGTCCCAGGTCACAATAACAGAGGAGGAAATGTAAGATGTGACAGGTTTGACCTGGCTCCTATTCCTGCACTCTTGCCACTACCCCCATGTTCTATCTGTTCACCGATGTTCAAACAGCCACCAAAGTACTAAAAATGCTAACATTGCAGAGGAGGCACATCACAGGGGCTCCCAGGGCCACTGCTTGAGGAGGGTGCACCCTGCACAAAGGTGCTGGGCTGAAGAGGCAAGCAGGGCTGAAATAAGCCTTAGCTTGGTTGTTTTGTAATTTGCACAAAGGAGCCGTATGGGCTGGTAATGGCATGGAACCACCGGTGGCCACAGCTTAAGGAATTCCATCAGCCTCTTGATTTCTGTTTTCTGTCTATCCTTTGAGCACTATTTGCCAATTTCCTGGAAGTGGCTCTGCCTCAAGAAAGCTTCCTGGCTCTTAAATGTAGAGTTTACAATCCTCTGAGGCCAGTGTGAAATGCCCAGTTGTCCTGACTGTTGTCAGGAACATGACCAGCATTCCCTCAGAAGCTCATCATTCTGAAAATTAGACACAGACCACTTATTAATATGTATGGCAAATCTGGGATCCTCCTTAGTGAGTGTAGCTACAATAAAAAGGTCAATATGAAGGCCTGGGATTTGAGAGATGAAACAACCTGTACCTTTGTCTTATACTTTGGAAAATAGGACCTGAACATTTTTCAAGGTCTCTTGAGAGTGGGCCTCAAGGTTGGGGGCCTCTTTTCAATCTGTCACAGTCATAGTCACAATAGCTTATAAATATCTGTTGCTTGAATGACATTTGAAGTAAAATATTTATCCCAATAAATCAGTAATGTGGGAAATACGTAGTCTGCCTGATGTGAATACTTTGCAATTAGTCCTATTAGTTTCAAAGGAAGAAAAAGGACAGATATGGGAGGCAGGCAACTTTGGCTTTTCTCTTTCCATCTCTGCCACAGCCTTTGGGTATGACATTGAGCAAGTCATTCACCATGTGTAGAATGCAGATTTAAAGAAATGATGGACTCAATGATATCCCCAAATGCCTTCATGCTGGTACAGTGCTCTTTTAACCAAGCATATTCACATGGTAGTAACATGTTTCATGGCATTTTGTAGCTAGACGGGAGTTTAATGATCCCTTGGTACACCCTCCTCATGTAATGAATGCTCTTGATAAAGAAGACAGAGCAGGCTGGGCAC